>NT_187660.1:486808-786808 GCF_000001405.40 Homo sapiens
GAATTCCCTGGTCTAGCTTCACAGAACTAAAGCGGGGAGCCACCGAGCATTACAGGCCTCCTGAGCCAACAGAAAGCATGCAGCATGACCCCAGACATAACACCGCCCCAACGAGACTGAATTCAAATCCAACCAAACCTCTAGATCTAACCAGCAGATTAATGTAACTAACAGAAGAACATGTTGGTCTAGAATAAGAGAATGCAATCAACCAAGTTCAGAAAATGTGAAGTTCTCCAAAATAACCAACCTGCTTCTTTGAAAAAGAAAACGGTATGATCACAGGGAGAGGAGGGCCTGGAGCCATGTTGTTGGGAGAAAGACTGAAAGCACATGTCAAGCAATGTCAACACAGAGAACATGCTCAGGTCCTAATTCAAAATTACCACCTAAAAAAGGCATTTTTGAGATAGTCCAGGAAAATGTAACATGGATTGCATGTTAGATTAAGGAATCACTGTTAATCTTATAGACAAGATAATGATATTGTAGGGTTTTTTTTTAAATCCTTATCATTAAGAGGTAAAATGCCTTAAAATGTTTTAAAGACAGAATTATGCTTTAAAATAATCCAATCAGAGGGCGCAGTGGCTCACGCCTGTAATCCCAGCACTTTGGGAGGCCAAGGTGGGCAGATCACAAGGTCAGGAGATGGAGACCATCCTGGCTAACACGGTGAAACCCCATCTCTACTAAAAATACAAAAAATTAGCCGGGCGTGGTGGCAGGCGCCTGTAGTCCCAGCTACTCGGGAGGCTGAGGCAGGAGAATGGCATGAACCTGGGAGACAGAGCTTGCAGTGAGCTGAGATCACGTCACTACACTCCCGCCTGGGCGAAAGAGCGAGACTCCGTCTAAAAACAAAAATTAAAAAAATAAAATAAAATAAAATAAAAATAATCCAATCAATCAAAAATACAGAGAAGTATGAGAGGGGAACATACTCACCTGTTAAAACTAGATTCATTTTACTATTTTTCTACTTTTATCTATGTTAGAAAATTTTCATAATAAACAGATTACAAAAACATCACAGTGCTAATAAGTATTCATTTCTCAAAAAGCAAGAAAAATAGCAGATTAAACCCTAAGAAAGAAGAAGGCAATAATAAAGAGTATGGCACTGGACAGACAAACATACAGAAAAATGGAATAGAATGGAGACCCCAAAAACAATCCATCACGTATTTGGTCATACGATTTTTGACATGGGAGCCAAGACCACTCAATGGGGAAAGAAGAGCCTTTTCAATGCATGGTACTGGGAAATCCAGACATGCACATGTAAAGAACGGAGGTAGACCCTTACCTTACGCCACACACAAAAACTAACTCAAAATGGATAAAAGACCTAAAAATAAGTGCTAAAACTATAAAATTCTTAGAAGAAAACACTGTGGAAAATCTTCATGACACTGAATTTGGTGACGTGTCTTGAATAGGACACCAAAAGCAGTGCAGGCAACAAAAGGAAAAAAATAGGTAAGTTGGACTTGATCAAAATCGAATACTTCTGTGCATCAAAGGAGGCTATCAAGAGTGAAACAGCAACCGAAAGAATGCAAAACAGATTGCAAATAATATCTATGCAGAATATATAATTAACTCCTAAAACCCAACAAGACAAAAAACCCAATTAAAACACGGGCAAAAGACTTGAATATGCATTTCTCCAAAAAAGGTATGCAAATGGTCAATAAGCACATGAAAAGATGCTTGACATCACTAATCATTAGGGACACACAAATCAAAACCACAATGAGATACCACTTCACACCCATTGATGGCTACTATCAAAAAAAAAAAGTGTTGGTGAGGATGTGGAGAAACTGGAACTCCTGCACACTACTGACAGGAACATAAAATGGTGCAGCCACTCCGAAAAACACTATGGCAACCCCTCAAAAAAATTAAATATAAAATTACCATATAATCTACCAATTCTACCTCTGGCTATATACCCAAAAGAAGTAAAAGCAGGCCGGGCGCAGTGGCTCCCTCCCGTAATCCCATCACTTTGGGAGGCCGAGGTGGGCAGATCACAAGGTAAGGAGATCAAGACCATCCTGGCCAACATGGTGAAACCCCATCTCTACTAAAATACAAAAAATTAGCTGGGCATGGTGGCGCACGCCTGTAGTCCCAGCTACTCAGGGGGCTGAGGCAGGGGAATTGCTTGAACCTGGGAGACAGAGGTTGCAGTGAGCCGAGATCACACCACTGCACTCCAACCTGGGCGACAGAGCAAGACTCTGTCTCAAAAAAAATAAACAAATAAAAAAAAGAAGGGACGCAAATGGATATACACACCCACATTCATAGCAGCATTATTCACAATAGCCAAAAGATGGAAACAACCCAAGTGTCATCAACTGATGGATGGACAGCAAAATGTGATATACTCATATAACAGAATATGATTTCACCTTAAAATGTAAGGACATTCAGACACTTTGCACAACATGGATGAACCTTGAAGACATGCTAAGTGAAATAAGCCAATCCCAAAAGGATAAATACTGTATGGTTCCATGTATATGAAGTACCTGGAGTAGTCAAATTCAGACACAGAAAGTAGAATGGTAGTTGCCAGGTGCTAGGGAAAATTGGTGTTTAATAGATGCATAGTTTCAGTTGAGAAAAATGAAAAGCTCTAGAGATGAGTGGCGGTGATGGCTATTAAACAATGTGAATGTATTAATGCCACTAAATGGTACACTTAAATGGCAAATTTTACCAATCTTATACACACCCTTCCAAGAAAAGAATAGGCAGGAACATTCTCCTACTCACTCTACAAGATTAGCACAACTTTGGTTACCAAAACCTGAATGTCTATTATGTTTTCCTACTACTGGATCCATCAGCCAGTGTTTCCCTCGACAAACTAACGTTCTCTGGTGGATAGATGGAAACTAACGGGTTGCATGGGACCTATCTTCTTCCTGAATTATAGCTTCTTTATTAGTAAAGGGGTGGTGGTTATCAATAACAATAAGTTGCAGGGCATTACAAGAAAATAAAATTACAGGTCACTGAAAAAATTACAAGGAAAATGAGATGCAAAATCTAGAAAAATTACAACTACAGATGCAAAATTGTCTTTAAAAAATAGCAAACCAAGACCAGAAATATCTATCCATATGACCAATATCATGAGCAAAGTAGTTTTATTCCAGAAACGGAAGGTTGAGTCAACATTTGAAAAGTCAGTAATTCACACATTAATAAAAAAAATAAAAATTATATGATCAAGTAATGCAGGAAAAGCATGTGATGAAACTTAACACCCAATCATAGTTAAAACTGCATCACAAAGCAGCAACAGAAGAAAACATCCTTAAGATTCAAAAGTACTTACAAAGAGACTCCTAAAACAAACATCATACTTTGTGTGTGAAATCTGGAAAGCTTTTTCTCTGCTACTAAGAAAAAGGCAAGGAGGTACACTGTCACCATTTCTACTCCACAATGCACTACAGGTCCTAGCAAGTGCAATAAGTCACTAGGGGAAAAGCTGCAAGATCAGACCAGACACAAGCATAGACAATCACTTGGTTCAGACAAAGGTGACATCCCAGAAGAGTGACCAAGGACAGTCTTTTCACCCAAAGGTGCTGGCACAAAGACACTATGGACAAAATGCCCATGGAAAAAAAGTGACATGTGACCCCTTTCTCATAACATGCATGAAAATCAAGTCCAAGTGCACTATAGCTCTAAACATGAAAGTTAAGGCAATAAAACTTTTAAGGTGTAAAAGAAAATCTGGGTAAGAAAAAGATTTCTTAAGGCCCAAAATGAACAACCATTAAAACAGAAACAAACTGGATTTCACGAATATTACTTCTGTTCATCAGAAAACACTTTTAAGTGACTACACAGGCCTGAGTGAGAGAAAAAGCTCCATCAGAAATAGAGCCAAAAGTTCATATCCCAAATACACAGTAACACTCACATGAATGACTAAAAAGAAAAAAAGACAACCAGATAGAAAAATGCGCACAAAACTTGAATTGGCACTTCACAAAAGAGAATTTCCAACTGATTAATGCACACAGGAAAAGGTATCAAACCTCACTAATAATCTAGAAAATGCTAATTGAAACCACAATGAGATACCAGTGTACACCCACCAGAATGGGTCAAACAGGGAGTGCTAGCAATGCTAGGTCTTGGCATGGAAGTGGAACACTGAGAATTCTCACTTTGCAGTGGAGATGAGTAGCAGCACAATCACCGTGGAAAACTGGCATTCTGTATTAAAGGCATCCTCTACAAACCAAGAGTCCCACCAAGAAACAGAAAGAATGATTAAAGAAACAGATGTAAGAATGTTAACGTATTGGCAGGAGCGCTGGCTCATGCCTCTTATGTCAGCACTGTGGGAGGATCACTTGAGCCTAGGAGTTTGAGACCAGCCTGGGCAACAGAGGGAGACCGTGTCTCTACAAAAAATTTAAAAATTAGCCAGGCATGGTGGCGCATGCTTGCAGTCCCACGCAGGTGGAAGGATCTGCTTGAGCCGGGGAGGTCAAGGCTACAGTGAGCCATGATTGCACCATTGCATTCCAGCCTGGATGACACAGCAAGACCCTTGCCTCAAAAAAAAAGGTAACATATTTACTTTAACCTAAACCTGGAAACAACTTACATTTCCATCAACAAGTAGAATGAATAGGTTGTTGTATATTCAAACAAAAGTATACTACATATGGCAATAAAAATGAAAGAACTCAATAACGGGGTGAAGCTCAGAAACCAAAAGGTACGTACCGTCTAGTTCCACTTATATGAAGTCCGAGAACAGACAGAATTAAAATGATGTTGGGTAGGGACAAGAACTTAGTATAAGATGATCAGAAGTAAGGTGGCGATGACCACACAGCCTGGGGAAGGGCACTTTTCAGAGAAATGAGTCCGAGTTTGGGAGGGTCCTGCCACCATCCAGGCTAAGGTTTGAATGGCTGTGACACAGTTCTCTCTATGATCAATTACAGGTATCTACTAGGTACTTTTGTGTATGTGTTACTTATCACAATTTCAAGAGGCTTTACAGTGAGTAAGCTGCTGATCTGATCAAATGAATGCCCCTCAACAGTATGATAGTAGAGAGACAAAATAACACAGGACTAAGCTCACTCCTTAACAAAAGGGGAAGAATGGTGCTCAAAGTATTGACTGTTTTAAAAATAAAAAACCATGTTCAATGTCCTGGGGCTGTTTTCCTCAGGACAACTGCTACCTCTTGTTTTAAGCTCCCATGTTAGGGGGATGATGGTCTAAAACACGAGAAGAAAAAAAGCCCATCCAGCTTGAGATTTCATATAAATCAAAGTTTAACCCTGATTTTGATTGATTCTGAGTCCAGGAAGCTAGAACCATAGAAAGCATGGTGACTTAGATTCAAAAACCCAAAACTCAAAACATTGAGAAGATAAGTCTCATTCCAATTTGGGATGCACTACAAGGCAATGCCTGTAAGAAGTGCTCAGGTGACTCCAGGAATTCTGCATCTCACTAACATCAAACAACCAGAGGACTCTGGAGAGTCTTCCCATTATCAATCTCTGCCTCCTGAGCTGGACCACAGATAACCACCCCAACTGCACCTTCTGGAGGCACCAGGACTTTGTAAAATTTCATTTCAGTACTTAACAAGGATTACTAATGGAAAAATCTTCCTTAAATATAACCGAAATATAGCCGGGCGCAGTGGCTCATTCCTGTAATCCCAGCGCTTTGGGAGGCAGAGGCGGGTGGATCACTTGAGGTCAGGAGTTCGAGACCATCCTGGACAACATGGTGAAACCCCATCTCTACTAAAAATACAAAAGTAAGCTGGGCATGGTGGTGTGCACCTGTGGTGCCAGCTACTCAGGAGGCTGAGGCAAGAGAATCACTTGAGCCCAGGAGGCAGAGGTTGCAGTGAGCTGAGATCATGACACCGCACTCCAGCCTGGGCAACAGAGCAAGATGTAGTGTCAAAAAAAAAAAAAAATATACACACACACACACACACACACACAGATATATATATACACACACATATATGTACACACATATATATACACACTCATATATACACACACACACATACATAAACACACATATATTTGGTTAATATATACATATATGACCCAAATTTCTTCTGATTTGGATTATCTCCATTTTTTACTTATACTACCATCAGTAGAAATGGCAAATCTTCCTTTGTAAAGTATTCTTTCAAATTGAAAGGCAAGAATAGGTTAGACAAGGACAATAAAACTTTCCTCAGTAAAACTCCTTTAAGACGCCGTACCCATTATGCCAGGCCAGGCTAACTCTTCATGATCATCCCGTTCCTTTCCTGGTGCCAGATGGTTGAACCGATCCAGATGTTCCAACAGGCCACCCAGCAGAGGTACAGCTCCAGCCTCTTGCATGAGACCAGCATTTTTACTGAGCAGAAGCACTATAGAAACTACTAGTTCTGGAAGGAGAACACCTACATTTAAGAAATAATAAGATTTAAATAAGTATTTATCCTATAAAAGCTATTTGTAAACTTGTTCTGTGTTTAAATTCTGCTAAGTCACAAAATAAGAAATGTTTGTCCTTTAGCATATTTCTAAAGAATTATCTTATATTTTATATTGAGACAGGCATAGCTATTAAACAGAACCCTTTAAATTACAAAAATATTTTCCAAAACACTGTATTTCAATCACAGAACTATGAACTAAGAGTCTTCTATTCAGAAAATTAAATGTTTATTGATATGTTTATCATCAGGGAAAAAACACTAAAAAATAATGCTCTAACCTCAAAAAGTTAAAACATACCAGGTAATATCAGAATTTTTAAGATCCTTAAATAGGTACCTAATTTTTATTATGCTGTCAAAATAAAATTAGACAATTACCTTTGACCTCATTATTGAAATGTCAATAATGGAAGTATAAATCTAAATTACCAATTACATTTAAAGTGATATGAGTCCCATACCAGCTGGCTTAACAACAGAACTGTCAGTAACTAAAAAAAAAAAACAAAGGTGAAAGGGCAGGAGGCCCAGAAAATTTAGAGAGTAAATGCAGGCATGCTGATCAGCAAAGAAGACACTTTAGCTTTCATCTATCTCCTAAAATAAACATGTACACAAGCAGGAAACAAAAGGTACCAGTAAAGTCCCCTTCCACAATGTAAGCCACCTCCGCGAAGTGCCGCCAGCTGGTAGAAGCAATGCTGGCGGCCACAGGCAGTATATCTCCAATGTGCGTGCACAGGAGGGCTGTGTACTTCTTCAGCAAGGAACCAACACCCATTAGCTCTGGACCTTGAAGAAGGATTGAGAAATTTTCATTTTCACTACTAAAATTTTTCTTTGTAAACAAACTAACTGCTCCATGATGCTATTCTCATCTACACATCTTTTACCCATAATAATTTTCTCAAACAGAAGCCTGTTAACCCTTGTCCTTGCGCTCTTTCTGTATCATGTGACTGGAGGGACAGGGTTTTTATGTCAAGTTTTATACCCTGCACTACAGAGTACCTAGAAATTTTGGGTGTATGAACACTAAAGTCATAATTTAATTTAAAGATTTTTTTTTTTAACAGACGGGGGTCTCACCATGTTGCCCAGATTGGACTCGAACCCCTGGGCTCAAGTGATCCTCCTGCCTCAGCCTCCTGAGTAGTTAGATCTACAGGCATGCACTACCACACCCAGCTCTAAATTTTTAAAATTTTATATCTAGTACACAAATGTTTCCTAAAAGCTTGTAAATTATTCCCAAAAAACAAAGTTAGGCACTTTTCTGCTCCATAAAATCTTCAGTTTTTCTGTCTACATGGTTCTTTTTTTTTTTTTTTTTTTTTTTGAGACCGAGTTTCACTCTTGTCGCCCAGGCTGGAATGCAATGGTCTGATCTCGGCTCACTGCAACCTCCGCCTCCTGGGTTCAAGCGATTCTCCTGCCTCAGCCTCCGGAGTAGCTGGGATTACAGGCACCTGCCACTATGCCCAGCTAATTTTTTGTATTTTTAGTAGAGACGGGGTTTCACTATGTTGGTCAGGCTGGTCTTGAACTCCTGACCTTGTGATCCGCCCACCTTGGCCTCCCAAAGTGCTGGGATTACAGGCGTGAGCCACCACACCCAGCCTCCTACATGGTTCTTAATAGCTTTTCAGTCCTTGTGACTTTGTCTTTAAGATGGTCACCTCTTTCAAACTATCAGCTCACCTACTGAAACCTGAAAGTTTCCATTACTGACAAGAGCCTAACTCTTCAGAAAGTAATTAAGTTACTTTGGGAAAAAAACAGCTACAAAATTACTAATGGAAGCAGCAGAGCTTTCCATCCTTGACAGAGAAAGCCTCATGATGGAGGGCCAGCCGCTGCCCTGGATGCTGAAGAAGGGGAACCATTCCCTCAACAGTGCACAGCACTGAGCACTTACACACCATTCTGTTCTGATTCTCACAGGCTGCCTCAGGGATTATCCCAAGTCTGCAGGTGAGAAGTCTTTGGCCCCATTAGACTTGGTCTAATGTCTAAACTATTAAGCCGAGCTGTAACTGAAACCCAGGCTTTCTCCAACAGTTCTTCCCATTCCACCCAGCTGGCTCCCCCATGTGACATATGAATAGGCTGTCACTGTTTACTTCCTACATCATGCCAGTCTCCAGCATTCCATAGCACATGGAACAAATCTGATAAATCTTCTGTAAGACTAAACTGAACATACAGGATGCTATTACTGATGTCTAAAGAATTTAAATATTAAGGCAACAAAATTAAAAATATTAACGAGGCTATTATAGAAAGGTCCAACTCAAAAAAGTGGATGCAAAATGAAGCCCCAAAATTGGTGCATTTAGTAGTATAACAACTACACATCTGGGCATATAGGATGGACACGTCGAAAAGCCTAAAGTAACGAGCCCCGATCACATACAAGACACTTTCACATTTTAAGCAACTTACTAGAAATATCTGAGGTCTGACCAATACTTTCTCCTGGATAAAGTTTACTAATAAGCAAACGTTGAAAACGCAGTAACAAATCCAATGAAGCAGATCTTTCACGACTGTGTTGCTCAAAGTCCAGACATGATGAAATCCGACGGGCAACATCTTTCAATCTGGCTACAGTCTGAGAAGCAATGTTTCTATACAGGAAAGAAGAGGATTACAAAATTAAACAAGATATTTCTACTAAAAAGAAAATGGGATGGGGTAAATCATGACAAATTAATATCACAAACACAGATCATACATGATGACCTGCAGCTGGCTTCCCTCCCCAAGTGTGTCCAATGTATCTGCAACAAGCGCAACCTCAGCCAAAACGGAGCAGAAGGGCACGGAAGGCTCAAAAGAGATAATGATGCCCTCGTGCTTCACTAATGTGCGCCTATGGAGCTGCGCGCAGTGGTCCAAACTGCAGAAGATCTTGCTTCCAAAGGAATACTTCCACATTCCCAATGTTTAAGGAATGTAAACATTAAGACAACGAAATTTAAAATACTGATGAGGCTAATATAGAAATATCTGACCCTCTAGAAAGAACAAACACAGTGTCATTATTTTTTGTCCAAAGCTGCATTTCAAACAGCAATGTGATACTACTCTTCAAGACAAGACTCGCCTGCATTGCCACATCTGCCTTGCAAGTCCACCTTGAGCCCTTACTCGCAAGCAGCACTGGGGTGGGCCATGCAGCAGGTGCCGAGGGCTCAGGGAGTCCAGGAAGGAAGACCAAAGCAGGTGCCCAAAGAGCACGGCAGCGAAGAAAGTAGAAGAGGCTCCAGTTCCAACACTGTGATGTGACTTGAGCCATGAGCCATTGGAAGATGACAAGAAAAGAGAAGAAACATATGTTCCCAGAAGGTAAAGTTAGGAGAGCAGTGAATGTTTCTGGTTCCTCAGCAGAACACCAAGAAACAAGGGCAGGAGAACAACACAAGGAAGCAAGGGAGAGACAGTGCAGGTAATGGAATGTCAGGCTGTGGGACCAGAGTCTGCAATGCCAACCCACCAAGGTTATGATAGGAAAATAACACCTTCTGTGTGTTTAAGGAAAGTAACTCTTTTTTTTGAGACAGAGTCTAGCTTTGTTGCCAGGCTGGAGTGCAGTGACATGATCTCAGCTCACTGCAACCTCCGCCTCCCGGGTTAAAGCGATTCTCCTGCCTCAGCCTCCCGAGTAGCTGGGAATTACAGGCACACGCCACCACGCCAAGCTAACTTTTTTTTTTTTTTTTTTTAAGTGGAGACGGGCTTTCACTATGTAAACCCAGGATGGTCTCGATTTCCCGACCTCGTGATTCACCCGCCTCAGCCTCCCAAAGTGCTGGGATTACAGGCGTGAGCCACCACGCCCGGCCTAAGGAAACTAACTCTTATGTCAATGTGAAAGCAAATCAGACAGGACATGGGAACACGGAGGGGAGGAGAGCCCAACCAGAGCCTGGTTCCAGACCCACCCCACCCGCCCCGTTGAGCCAGGAGCACAGGTGGCTCTCTGCACAACACCAAGAGTGAGGACATGCTTTCAGCTCCACTTTAACTCAGGTTCCTAATGTGACAGCAGGCTTGTCAATCCCACTTGCCCCCGTGGCTCACACCAGAAAAAACTACCAGCAGCATGAGTAAGGACAGAAGCAGGAGACAGAGGAGCCAGGGTTGGGGAATCCCATAGCAACCCACAGGCCCTCATCACACACGGCAAGGATGCGCCCTCACTGGGCTCACCACCACCAGACATCACCTTCACTACCTGATACCCTGCCTGGATAACACCACTGTAACACAAGAAACAGGTCTAGAATCTAACATGTATGCTACACCTGAAGGAGCAAGAGACGGTAATACAATACAATGAAATTTTTAGTTTATTTAATATAAAATTTAGAGCCATAATCAAAACGTGTAATTCTGATGGGGTTCACTACTTATAAAAACTTCACAGCGCTCTATTTTCAAATGTAAATGGTATTCTGTGGCTCCTCGCCAGCATGTAAATAACGATCTACTCTGAAATACGTTTCACGGCTTATTTTTGGCAAGCAGCGATTTCTCCAACTCACGTTTTCCAAGGGAAAAAAGGACATGAAATGTCTCCAAAAGTCTCTTACGATCTTTAGATAAACTACTGTTCAACAACTGCATCTGCCAAGTCAACACATCAAGAATCCTTCACTCACAAACACTTAAGGTGAGAAAACAGTGTCTACCCATGCGGGAGAGGGACACATGATCCATGCTTATGAAGACAGCCTGGATATCGGCTACTGGAAAGCTGCGAATGCATTTTTCTTTTTCTACTTTCCAAAATTTTTGTGAGGTGATAACTATGTTTGTGTCTATTCTTTTTATTTTGTATTTTTTAAGTACGTACATCCTTATTACAAATCTGCTGTAGAACCAATGTCCCATACAGGACCCCACGTGCCACAGGAACCAAAAAGTCACATGCAGCAAGGATGAAGACACAGGAGACAACCTGTGTGGACAGCACAGAGCCACCTGCCGAGGACACCAATGGAGCTACAGGTGCAATTCAAAATGTTCTTGGTTGTATTAATAAATGTGGCCAGGTGCAGTGGCTCACACCTGTAATCCCAACACTTTTGGAGGCCAAGGCGGGCAGATTACCTCAGGTTGGGAGTTCAAGACCACCCCAGCCAACATGGGGAAACCCCATCTCTACTAAAAATACAAAAATTAGTCAGGTATGGTGGCATGCACCTGTAGTCCCAGCCACTCAGGAGGCTGAGGCAGGAGAATCATTTGAACCCAGGAGGCAGAGGCTGCAGTGAGCTGAGATCGTGCCACTGCACTCCAGTCTGGGCAACAGAGTGAGGCTCCATCTCGGGGGAAAAAAATTGTCCTTAGTCACATTAAGTAAAAAAAAAAAACAAAAAAACACATAAAACTAATTTTAATAATGGCCAGGCGCGGTGGCTCACGCCTGCAATCCCAGCACTTTGGGAGGCCAAGGCGGGCAGATTACTTGAGGTCAGGAGTTCGAGACCAGCCTGGCCAACATGGTGAAACCCTGTCTCTACAAAAATACAAAAATCAGCAAGGCGTGGTGGTGTACGCCTGTGGTCCCAGCTGCTCGGGAGGCTGAGGCAGGAGAATCACTTGAACCCAAGAGGCAGAGGTTACAGTGAGCCAAGATTATGCAACCGCACTCCAGCCTGGGCAACAGAGCAAGACTCCATCTCAAAAAATAAAAATAATTTTAATAATGTGTCATACTTATCCCAACAGATTGAAAATATTACCATTTCAACATGATATCACTATAAGAAAAATTATTGAGATATTTTACATAGGTTATTTCATATTAAATCCTCAAAAACCATCAGGGTAGCTTACATATGTAGCACATTTCAATTTGGACAGTGATATTTGCATTGAAAATATCTGATCTGCCCTAGACTCATAAAATACACAGTTGACGAAGTAGACTCACATGGCCAAGTGATTCTAAACATACTTAAGTGCTTCCTAATAACGGAATCAAGTTTTTAAACCTGCATTTTAATTAATAAAAATTAAACAGATAAAATATTCAGTGTCTCAGCTATGATGGATACACTTCAAGTGCTGATCAGCAAACGGTGTTGAGTGTAGCCAGACGGGCCAGCGCAGGCTACACAGCTGCAGCTCAAACAGCATAGTTGCAGGTCAAACAGGCCAGTCTCGGTGCACGGGAACATTCTGGGCAAGCAGGAGACGGGGAAAACGGGCACTGCCCTCGTGAGAACAAAGGACCCACAACAGGAACCCTAGACTCACCCCCTGCCAAAGACACCAATAGCCCATGAAGCAGCCTCCTCAGAAAAGGGAGGGGCATTCAAGAACTTAGAAAAGCACCTCTGGAAAATGCTCACTTTAAAACTTTGCGTGGAACTTTACATTTTAATTACAAAGGTTTTAACTTCCATGTTCTCATTGATTCTTAATTAACTCCATGAAAGTAAACACGGCTTTTATTCTTATTCCTATAGTTACTGTGTTGGAAGTTCATCTATGTGAACAAGCTGTTGCAACTGAAATTTTATGAGAACAAATTCCAAGCTCTTTCCATTAACACAAACTATATGAAGTTTAGTTCTCTTTATTTCCATTGGTTAAAGACCAGAATGTATGAAATATGCATTATCAGATTAGAAAAACAAAACAAACATCAGAAAAAGGTTTTGCAAAATAGAATTTACTAAAATCTATGATAGAAACTAGCTCTAAAACTTCCTGTTTCAAAATTTCACTGTGCGTCTACTAAGTTCGTTTTTCTGGTTGTGGACAGCAGGCCCACCCCACGCCACAGGCCCAACCCACACCACAGACCCACCATGGTCCCATGAATAGGCCAGCTGAGAGCTGTGGCCACTGCCCAGGGCTCCCTGCTCTGTGCTCGGCTGCCTGACCCAACCTGCCAGTGCTTTGCTTTCTCTATGTGTAGAAACTAAAACCAGGAGCCCAAGTTTACAAAAAGCAGATTTTTATTACATAGAGGTACAAATGTGTTTCACTTTCTAATCTCTTTCACAAATCACCTTGCTTTTTCGCTCTTCTTGGGTGATCATTTTTACACAACACTGACCGTTTTGGCTTCTGCCAAGGTTAGCCTCTGTTCACAGGCTGACTCTGACTTCTTCTTCCCACCTCCTCCTAGTCTGGCCTTCCAAAATAATGCTCACCATTCTTTCACATTGACTTTAGTTTTGAAAAGAAAAGTTACCTTACAAAGTAGTATGTACAACTCTGTAATATGTAAAGTGAGGCAATGATAGAACCAGTTTTAAAAATAACCTTTCCATGATGATTTTCATTTGCATCCACCTGCTTATTAGTAAGAATCTTTTTACATGTTTACTGCACACCGCAATTTCTCTTCAGTGAAAAACTTCTGAGTATCATCACACCCTCCAACTTCTCCTCTCACCTATATTGAAAAGGGTCTGCTCTTTATTCTAACATCTATACTAGGTAATTTTCAGAATATTCCTTCAACCACCAAACAAATTTTTGAGATCCTTGTGCTAGATTTCACTATCTTAATATGAAAACCAATAATCACCTACTAAAATACAATACAGGCCGGGAACAGTGGCTTACGCCTGAAATCCCAACACTTTCAGAGGCCAAGGCGGGTAGATCACCTGAGGTCAGGAGTTTGAGACCAGCCTGACCAATATTTTGAAACCCCGTCTCTACTAAAAATACAAAAATCAGCCAGGTGTGGTTGCGGACGCCTGTAGTCCCAGCTACTTGGGAGGCTGAGGCAGGAGAATTGCTAGAACCCAGGAGGCAGAGGTTGCAGTGAGCCAAGATCATGACACTGCACTCCAGCCTGGGCAATAGAGCGAGATTCCGTCTTAAAAAATAAATATTAAAAAAAAATAATAAGTACATAAATAGACCGGGAGTGGTGGGTGATGCCTGTAATCCCAACACTTTGGGAGGCCAAGGCGGGCGGATCACCTGAGGTCAGGAGTTCAAGACAAGCCTGACCACCATGAAGAAACCCCGTCTCTACTAAAACTACAAGATTAGTCGGGTGTGGTGGCACACACCTGTAATCCCAGCTGTGTGAGAGGCTGAGGCAAGAGAATCACTTGAACCTGGGAGGCGGAGCTTGCAGTGAGCCAAGATGGCGCCATAGCACTCCGGCCTGGGCAACAAGAGCGAACTCTGTCACACACACAAAAAAAAGTAAATAAATAACATATAATACAATACAGCTACTACGATTTACCTAAGAAGCTGTTGTATGAGCTGAACCAGAGGCAAACACTGTTTGCCAGAAGACTCACAGATCCCCGTATTAATAAGGTCTTTATCCAGTGGAGTCCTGCTTCTATGAAATGTTGAGGCATTCGCTTCCTGTTCATCAATTTCTTTTTCCTTCTGTGCTTCTTTTTTGGCTTCAATATCCTGTAATTCATAAAAAGAAATTGTTTACAAGTGATCTCATTACCAGGTGTGAAGACACACAGGCTGGCTGAGCCCTAACCCCAGTGCCAAGCTATCCCAGCCTCTGTGGCTAATGCACACACCTACCCACAGGCCCCCATCTGCCTTGTTGGAAACCCTAACTCAGTTGTGCAGTTTCAAACAGTGTCTTCTTTTTACAGAATCAAGGTCCAGGCTGCCTCTGCTGATGCTCTCCAGCATCCTTCTGTGAAGTCCCTAAAATCCTTAACCCTGCTACTGGCTCTCACAAAACCCAATGTGATGTGCCCCACACATGCAACATCCAGCTGCTTTGTAAGGACAAGAAGAAGCTGGAATTCTCACATACTTGTTCAAATGTAAATGGCAAAGCCACTTGGGGAAACTATGAACACGCACCTGCCCCAGGACCTAACAAATTCCACTCCAAGTGTTTACCCAAAAGGAGAACATATGTTCACTAAAGTACTTGTACACAGCACAACCGTGGCAGCTCTACATGGCCAAAAACCAGAAAGCCTGGGCGTGGTCGCTCATGCTTGTAATCCCAACACTTTGGGAGGACAAGGTGGGGGGATCACTGGAGCCCAGGAGTTCGAGACCAGCCTGTGCAACATAGTAACACCTTGTCTCTACAAAAAAATCACAAAACTAGCCGGGCATGGTGACATGTCTGTGGTCCCTGCAAAACAGGAGGCTGAGGTGGCAGGATCATTTGAGCCTAGGAGGACAAGGCTGCAGTGAGCCAACATCAGGTCACTGCATCCAGCCTCGGTGACAGAGCAAGACGCTGTCTCAAAAAAAAAGAAAACAAAAACCAAAAGCAATTAAACGTCCTTCAATAGGAGAATGAACAAACAGTACTACACCTATAAAATGGAATACTTCCCAATAATAAAAAAGAAGTCACAATACACACAACAGTGAGTGAATCTGAAAATCATTCTCCAAGGCAAAGCAAGAAAGAGTGCATACTATATAGTTATATTGCTGCGACACTCAGAGCAGGAAAAATGAATCTAATCTCAGGGCAGGGGAGTATCCTGGCTGCAAGTGCCAAGGGCACAGGGATCTTTCCGGGTAACGGGAATGGTCTACATGAGGAACAGGTTACCTGTTAACTTCACTGAAACAGACAACATGCAGTATTTTATCACAATTAAATCATATCTCAATAATTTTGTAAATTGGCACATAAAAGAATTTTAATTTAAAAAATACTTGGATATGATAAAAGTTTAGAGTTTTACTGTTTTCAGTTATTCTTCACGTGTGTGAGTGTGGTATTTCTGATCTCAGTGCACCACCAGGTCACGTGTGCCTCCAAAGCCATACCTGGATCTCTGCAGTAATGGCTGCGTGTAAGGCTGACTCCAACCCTCCATCAGCCATCAAGCTGCCCACCAGAAGATCAATCATGAATCGACGACCTGGACTTATGTTCACTTCATTGCCTGAAACTGAAATAGAAAGTGTGTGCCAATTTGAGTGAAACGCCATTCCCTCCCAACACCCTGACCCATGCCCTCTCCTGTTCCTTCCCCAGGCCCACCTGCGCAGGGCAGGAGAGCAGAGAGTGCCCGGGCCCGCTCCTCCGCGGTGGGCAGCAGCACGGACCAGCCACTCTGCAGCACGGCCTGGGCGGCCGACTGCACGGTGCTCAGCACGCCCGCACTGCTGGCCAGGGTCACCACCGTCTGCTTCAGGCTGTTCAGGAGGATGCTGCCCAGACCTAAACCAAGGAATTCCGGGTCAACCTGGTGACTAATGGCAGCATGCAACTGAAAGGAGAAAAACAATTTTCACTTAGAACCCCTAAAAATGAGTGAATTTCAAAGTCTTATTAAACACTGAATAAAAGTCAATTTCAAGTATTATTTAAATAGACAATTTCTCAGTTTATGTATTTTTAAAAACTGGACTAAAAAAACTCTTACCCACAATAGTTGAGGTATTTGCTAGAGGAATCTTTTTAACCCCACTATGAACATGTTTATGGAAAGCTCAAGATCAGCAGAAGAGCTAAACAACTAGCAACAGCAACCTCCACCCCGCGCCAACAATCTGCACCAAACACAGAAATAACAGCTACAACTCAACCAAAAAAGCTGCCACAGGTGCAATCTCGGCTCACTGCAAGCTCTGCCTCCCCAGTTCATGCCATTTTCCTGACTCAGCCTCCCGAGTAGCTGGAACTACAGGCGCCCGCCACCACAACTGGCTAATTTTTTGTATTTTTAGTAGAGACGGGGTTTCACCATGTTAGCCGGGATGGTCTCGATCTCCTGACCTCGTGATCCACCCGCCCAGGCCTCCCAAAAGTGCTGGGATTACAGGCGTGAGCCACCGCGCCCAGCCCAGATCATGTTTTTTAAGACTCGCGTCCATTATTAGTGCATTACAATCTTACTTTAAAATATTTCACCGAACAGGCTAAAACCCATGCCCTTCAAAATACATAAACCTTCTTACAAATCCCTAAGACACTTACAAAAGGAGGAAGAAGAAGGGAAATCATGAATACCTGAAGTCGTAGAAGATTCAGCGTTGCCACGGCCACACACTCTTTCTCCTGGGGCGGGGGCCAGTCCGCGGAGCCATCCATCCCCTCACTCACCTGCCGAAGCAGGAGATCCAGCTGCTCAAAAGTCATTGAGCAGATGTCCACCACAAAAGGGACACGGAGGCCAATGGACCACTCAGAACATGATGACCAAGCAAAGCTCTAAGAGGAAACGCAACAATCTAAAATGAATCTCCAAATGCAGCTGCTGGTCTGCTCCACAGGAGTCACCAGCGTGTGTGATGGAGCTGCCTTATACTATTACCTATCATCCCTCGAACTGCCCAGTCCAAAGGCATTCATGGATGTCTAGCTCACACACTATCAGCTTCCGATTTTCCCACCCATTTCACTAGCCCATCTCATTTGGCCATACCTAAAAAAGTAAAAGCATTTTTAACAATCTTTTCACTCTCAAAACGATTAATGACATTAATGGATGGCAGTGAGGATCTCCATCCACTTGAAGTGGTATAATAGCAACTCTAACTAGACAACGAATTGTTAGATGCATATGACACACACACAACCTTTCACAGTGAAATAACAAGTAATCGGCAAGGATCTAAGAGAACGGTGGAACACTATGAATAAACTGGATCTAATTTATAGAACATTTCACCCAACAACAACAAAATACATATACTTTTTTTTTTTTTTGAGACAGAGTCTCACTCTGTCACCCAGACTGGAGCCTCAGCCTCCCAAGTAGCTGGGACTACAGGTGCCCGCCACCAAGCCTGGCTAATTTTTTTTTTGTATTTTCAGTAGAGACAGGGTTTCATGGTGTTAGTCAGGATGGTCTCCATCACCTGACCTCATGATCTGCCCGCCTCAGCCTCCCAAAGTGCTGGAATTACAAGCGTGAGCCACCGCACCTGGCCATACATATACTTTTTAAGCACATACAGAATGTTCACTAAGAGAGAACATATCCTGAGACATAAAACAAATCTTAACAAATTTAAAAGAAATGAAATCATATACAGTTTGTTCTCCAATCACAATGGTATTAAACTAGAAATCATGAACAGAACAATCTACAAACACTTCAAAATTAAACAACATACTTAATAATCCATGGGTCAGGCCGGGCGCAGTGGCTCACGCCTGTAATCCAAACACTTTGGGAGGCCAAGGCGGCGGGGATCACCTGAGGTCAGGATTTCAAGACAACCTGGCCAACATGGAGAAACCCCATCTCTACTGAAAATACAAAAAAATTAGCCAAGCATGCTGGTGCATGCCGGTAGTCCCAGCTAATCAGGAAGCTGAGGCAGGAGAATTGCTTGAACCCGGGAGACAGAGGTTGCCGTGAGCTGAGATCATGTCATTGCACTCCGGCCTGGGCAATAAGACCAAAACTCCATCTCAAAATAATAATAATAATAATCATCCATGGGTCAAAAAAACAATTCTCAAGAGAAATTATAAAATATTTTGAACATACATGAAAATGCGCCAAAATTTGTAGGTTTAATTAAAGCACTGCTAAACAGGAAAATTTATAGCATCAAATCATTATCTATTACAAAAAAAAGATAGGTCTAAATCAGCAATCTAAGTTTCCGCCTTAAGAAACTAGAAAAAGAACAAAGTGAACGCAAAACAAGCCAAAGGGACAAATGACAAGACAAAAGCAGAAATCAATGAGATTGAAAGCAAAACAAAAGGGAAAAATTAATGAAACGAAAAGATTGTTCTTTGAAAAGATCAACAAAATTGAAAAACTCTAGGAAAACTGACAAAGAAAAAAACAGAAAAGATACAAATTATCAGAATCAAGAATGAATGAAGGGACATCACCGCAGGCCCCACAGACTTCAGACAGCAAGAGAATACTAAGGAAAACTTGACACGTAAAAATCAGACAACGTAGATGAAGTAAAGCACATCTGAGGGCCAAAAATCAGGAAAATCCTCCTAGAAACAAACAGGTCACCTGAATACTTCTATATCTGTTAAAGAAATTGAAGTTGCAAAATCTTTTTTTTGTTTGTTTTTGTTTTTTTGAGACGGAGTTTCGCTCTTGTTGCCCAAGCTGGAGTGCAATGGCGCCATCCCGGCTCACTGCAATTTCTGCCTCCCAGATTCAAGCGATTCTCCTGCCTTAGCCTCCTGAGTAGCTGGGATTACAGGCGCACATCACCAAGCTCGACGAAATTTTTGTATTTTTAGTAGAAACAGGTTTCACCATGTTAGCCAGGCTGGTCTCAAACTCCTGACCTCAGGTGATCCACCCATCTCGGCCTCCCAACGTGCTGGGATTACAGGCGTGAGCCACTGTGTCTGGCGTAAAATCTTTTAGAAAGCAATCTCCAGACTCAGATGGGATTCAAAAACATTTAAAGAAGAAATAACACTAATTCTACACAATCCCTTATAGAAAATGAAAAAGGACGGAACACATGCCAATATTTTGTATAAGGTCAGCTTTCCCCTGATAGAAAGTCAGACAAGATAGTATAACACAAAGAAAGAAAACCACAAACCAACATCTCTAATGAGCATCAACAGAAAAATCCTCAACAACCTGTTAGCAAGTCAAATTTTGCAATACAGAAACAGAATAGGGCCAGGCACAGTGGCTCACACCTGTAATCCCAGCACTTTGGGATGCCAAGGAGGATGGATCACTTGAGGTCAGGAGTTGGAGACCAGGCTGGCCAACATGGTGAAACCCCATCTCCACTAAAAAGAAAAAAAAAAAATACAAAAATTAGCCAGGCATGGTAGTGCACACCTATAATCCCAGCTACTCAGGAGGCTGACGCAGGAGAATTGCGTGAACCCAGGAGGCACAGGTTGCAGAGAGCTGAGATTGCACCAATGCACTCCAGTCTGGGTGACAGAGTGAGACTCCATCTGGCAAAAAAAAAAAAAAAAAAAAAGAGTAGTAAATTGTGGCCAAGTGATGCCTATCCAAGTAACACAAGGCTTGATCAGTATTTAAAAATCAGGCTGGTGCAGTGCCTCACACCTGTAATCCCAGCACTTTGGGAGGCCAAGGCAGGCAGATCGCTAGAGCTCAGGAGTTCGAGACCAGCCTGGGCAACATAGTGAAACCGTATCTCCAAAAAAGAAAAAAAAAAAATGTTTAAGAAAAAGAAAAGTAAAAAGCATCATGTAATACACCATACTAACACACTAAAGAAGGAAAACTGCATGACCATTTCATTTGAGAAGATTAAAAGCATTTAACAAATTTTAACATCCAGTCAGGATTTTTTAGAAGCTTCTAAAACGGGGAATTAAAGACACTCCCTTAATCTGATAATAAGGCATCTACATAAATACCCACAGCTAACATCACAGTTGATGGTGAAAGACTGAACTGCCTTCCCCTACAGTCAGGATCAAGGCAGGGTGCCCACTGTCACCTCTCCTATTCAGCTTCACACTGCAAGTCCTGGCCAGGGCAATCAGGCCGGGAAAAGACATAAAAGGCGAGCAGACTGGAAAGGAAGAAATGAAACTGCCCCTCTATACAGATAGCATTTAATTGTCCATGAAGAAAACCCAAGGAAACTACAGTGAAGCTCATAATAAATGAGTTTAGCACAACTGCAGGACACAAGAACAACAAACAAAACTCAGTGGTATTTTCTACATACTGGTAATGAACAACTGGAAACCAAAATCCTCCAAAATACCAAATCAAGCTCTATATTCAGTACCTGGGCAGGCCCACAGGCAATTCCCACTATGTGTTTGGTGTCCAGTCCTGGCAATGCTGCAGGTTCTGGCTTGGTCACGCGCAAGGTGTCAAAGTGCTGGCACTGGTCGTTGCTCCCCCAGCTGTGGACCTCGCTGTCCTCAGTCAGAGCCAGGCAGTGGGTGGAGCCTGCAGCCACATCAATCACCTTCTTCCCTACAAGGGAAGAGGGATGCAGATGCAGCTTCAAGCCTATGACTTCCGCTGCAAGAAAGATATTTCCTAGGCCATTCAGGTCAGACAGCTTTTAACATTAACTTCTTGAGGATAATCTGCTTTGCTTTAATATTAAGCACAATTCATTTGCTTTGGGTGTGTTATTAAAACTGCTGTATTTTGTCAGCTACAATTCGTTAGGACCCACAGTCTACAAAGATCATAATACTAGGATACAAAAAGGATCTGTTTTTTTTTCTCCTCCTCATTCAGATTTTCAGTCAGAAAGAAACAAGGTGCTTTTAATTAACTATTAGATCATATTCTCCCATCCGAGATTTAACAATGCATAGCACACTCTTCAGTGAGGAAGGTTTCCTAAGAAGAAATCTATTGTTCTCTCAGTTAGATATAACTGATATTTAAAACATTGTTTCTATTTAAACACTTAGCAAAATATTCTATTTTTCCTTCCTGGTAAATCTAACATGGCCAACACAAAGGGTGTTTCGCAGAAATGTCAGTATATAAAATAATTCAGCTGAAAAACCACACTGCAGTAAGGGGAAAAATTCTATCCTAGGAACTTACCATAAGTTAACATCAGCAACAAAAAAGGTGTTTCTCAACAGTAATTTAAATACCCTCAAAGTAAATGATTTCTATACTAATGATTGTCGTAGCTTTCCTATACTAATGGAGGGGAATATAAACAAGAAGGCAAATGAAATTCAAATACCATTCAATGACACAGAGTAAACTTCTTACTCTGCAACTTATCTCAGAAGCTTAGAAAACAATAAACACCATATGGGCGCACAAAACTCTCAGTCATCAAAATATTAACCTGCTTTAAAATAAAACTAATGGAGAAGGGAACTGGCAAGTCTCACTTAAAAGTCCCACTTCCAAACCCACTTGGTAAAGAACCAAACACACAAAGAATGTATGTAGTACCAGGACCCAACGAACTACAGCCCCCACACACAACGCAGCCCAAGGCCTGCTTCTGTGAAGACACTGGTGTTGGAACACTGCCAGGTCCACCTACTTCAAATACAATCTGGTCCTTTAAGAAAAAGGCTGCCCACCCCTGAGAGAAGAGAACCCTAAAGAGTCCATCTGATGTACCTCTCACACTGCCTTTTCCCTTCTTCCTACTTTCTTGTCAATTTGTCTGCCCTTCAACAGTTCTCGATTAGGATGAAGACTATCTCCCAACCACTAGGCCAGGTGGTACGGAAAAGTCCTGTTTTACCTTAGAAAGATCCCTCCAACATCATAGTTTTGATGGCCCCCACCCCAACTTCCTGCAGCATAACATCCCTAGTAAGAACACCACAGAAGAATCTCAGGGTCTTCTTGCAGAGACTCCCATCCTCTCTGCCTGCACCGGCAGCCCACACTGAAGGCGCCGGCACTCTTATCTACATACCTTGGCTTCCATCTCTTGCCTCCAACTACAATGCATGCTGGACACCTTTGCAACTGAGCAAGCAGGAATCACCCACCAAGGATGAGTTCACATGAGGGTGTCCCAAGTGGACCCAATCCCACCTCCCAATGTGGCTCCACAGCACAATGCACACTCATGGTCTCAGTGTGCCTGCAGTACAAGTACAGGTGACCTCACCACACAGAGGGAACCCTTACTGAGTCCAGCCTGCTGAGTGATTAATGGGTGCCTGCCACAGAAAGTCAACTCAACAGGTTTAAATTACATTTCAGTCATTTTGTAATAGACACCCACTTTCCAATTAGTATCAATACCTATACCAAGCAGGCAGTAAAAGTTTCTAATGACAGTCCATTCATGGAATGTCAGGTTAAGAACATAAAACCTGCTAACTCATGGAATGTCAGGTTAAGAACATAAAACCTGCTAACTTTAAAACATTACTAAAGAAACTGTCCTGAAGGGTTTTAAAAGTTTACATTTGCACTCACCTTGCAAGCCTTCTAAGAGTTTTGGATAACGAACATGTTCCTCTGTTCCATGTCCAAGTCTCTGGTTGTCACCTTTTCCCCATGAATAAACTTGGCCATCTTTCGTCAAAGCAATGGAAAACTGACTTCCACAGCGGACTTTGACCACATCCAAGTCTTGAAGCTTTTCAATCAGCTTTGGGGTTTTGCAGCCATCACTACCACCTCTGCCCAATTTCCCATAGTCACCATCTCCCCAAGACCACACTTGCCCTAAAAAATACAAATGCATTTAAATAACAACAACTCTGCATTTTAACGAAAAATTTTAAATGACTGCAAATAATATAATGAAAAACGCACACTAATCTAGACCACTCAGGTACATAGTTAACACTACAAGGGTGGCTACTGAGCAAACGAAATCTAGGTGACACTTGAGGTTGACATAGAAGCAATAAAGAAAGGGAAAGCTGAGTTTTCTTTTTGTTTTCATTCCATGAAAAACAAAGTCCTGACTCTTACTAGCCTGGGCTCAATGTTAACTGCTTCACAGAACCAAAGGCCCACTGCCTCCATAACACACAGTAACTGGGGCCTGGCACATTGCAGATGCTTGCGGACCACCCTCCCGTTTGCCTGCCTGCTTCTGTTGCCACCATGCTGACCGGTGGTCAACTGTACCACTGTATGTGTTCCCAACTGCATATCAGCATAATTATGTAAGTTGATTAAATATTACATAAAGGGATAAAATGCAATTGCAAAAGTAAATATTTTTATTTTTATGGTGAAAACTAAGCTGAAAACTTTGCAAAAACTTAAAGTGAATTGCTAAAAAACAGAATTGTTAGGCTGGGCATGGTAGCTCACACCTGTAATCCCAGAACTTTGGGAGGCCAAGGCGGGCGGATCACTTGAGCCCAGGAGTTCGAGACCAGCCTGGGCAACATGGCAAAACCCTGTCTGTACTAAAAATACAGAAATTAGCCAGGCATGGTGGTGAATATCTATAATCCAGCTGAGGCATGAGAATTGCTTGACCCCGGGAGGTGGAGTTTGCGGCGAGCCGAGATTGCACCACTGCACACCAGCCTGGGTGACAGAGCAAAACTTTGTCTTACAAAAAAAAAAAAAAAAAACAAACAAAAACAAAAAAAAGTGAAATTACGTAAAGGTGAAAACTGTAAAAGATCAGGAAAAAGAAACCAGAGAAGATATCAGATTGCTCCACAAGTTCCCACACTCTATTTTATAATAACTAAAGATAGGCAAATATTTTCCTCAACGATCAGATGGTAAATATTTTTAGCCTCTGTGGGCTTTCTGTCCCAACTACCCAGCTGTGCCACTGTCACAGGAAAGCAGCCACAGACAGTACGTAAATGAGTGGCATGCCTGCATGCCAATACAACTCTACCTGCAAAAACAGGCCAACCCCAAGCAAAATGGAAACTGGAGATGACGCACTATTACATGGTCAATGAAAGCGGCACAGCAGACCTGAACACAGAGATCGGAGCATGCATTTCCATATGCTGTGCTGAAAATTATGCTGTTCACATAGCCCACCTGGCTATTTCCCACTGTCCCCCAAGGCCAGACTGCAGGGTAGGATACTTCTACTGTAACAGTCGCCTCAGAAAATATATAGCAGCACAGCAGGGACACTTCCCTACAAGATCTGCACCAAAGAAACACCAGTGTGAGGAAGACAATGTCTGCAGCCCTACTCAAGGCAGTTTACTCAACATATCATCGCAAACTTTAACTAAAGTAGCAACTACACATAAAGAATGCAAGGCTAATCTCCTAACACAGCTTAGACCTTACAAAACTTTTAACCGGGAAATATTTTAAGGTCTGCAACTCACTCAATAATAGATATTTTAAAATGACGAGATGTCAAACTGAAAGCTCCTTGACAGCAGGAGCCTTTCAGATGAGGCCATCTTTGCTCTAGGACTCACAAAAGCAGAAACAACACGGCTCTGACAAGGTCTGTCCCGTCAATGGCAGCAGGACCGACATACAGGGAAGTATCTAAAATGATTTTTCATCTTTCACCTAAGAAATGCCCAAAAGTCACTCAATTACCAATCTGCCATTCAACTTCTGCAGGAGAGAAAGCAAGCTGACAGGTACCCCTGCTGATTATAACGGAAAGACTCCACAACGCCAGAGACACACAAGATGCCAAGGACAGACCACCACAATACTGAAAGACGAGTCATTTCTAAAATATTAACATGACTTTAACCATCAAACCTCATCAGGTACCCTTGAAAAAAGGATGATCTCACTTAGGAACACAAACATAAAACCAAAATTCAAAGCAAGCAGATACCGTAGCATCAGACTACAGAACACAGAAAGACTTAGCAGGAATTACCACAGGGAATCAAGAGTGGCCGAACGTTAAGAAATGTAATAATACTAACCAGAGACAATTCAGAGTGTCAATCATCCCATTTCAACTCTCATTCTTAAAAAATAAAATGCCCACACAGGAACGGCGGCAGCTGCTAACCAGCTGAGAGGCCTCAGGCAAACAAGCCCAGTAACCACCCGGGCCTCTTCCCCAATGCCACTGAGCCCCACACCCACTGGGCGACAGGGTGGGTGGCCTCGTGAGGCCCACTGTACTCATCTCACTTCCTCCAGGGAAGCTGCCATGCGTGTCCTCGTGGGCCTGTCCAGGGTGGCGAGAGCTCTACGTACCGTTCTCAGTGACAGCCAGGGTTTGAGCATCCCCACTCCCACACGCCACATCGATGACCTTCAGTCCTTTAAGCCCGGCTACCAGCATCGGAATGGCCTCGTCCTCACTGGAGCCTTCAAACAGATAGGACGGCGGTTACTAAGTCCTGTAAGAGGCCACCTCCTGCTGCATGCTCCCACTCATGCAGAGCAGACGTACCATGGCCCAGCCGGCCGTAGTTCCCGCGGCCCCAGGTGTACAGCTCCCCCTCGGCAGTGATGGCCGCACTGTAAGTGCTCCCGCAAGCGATGTGCACCACGTGCTTCCCGGCCTGCTTTCCAGAGAAGGCGGAGATCACCTTAGGCTCCTCCAAAGGCCTTGGGGAGAAAGGGAACAAACATGAATGCCCTTCTTCTTGGTGTTATTTCTTATTAATGTTAACAAAGGAAATTCACTATCCAAATTTAGACCAGCATAGCATCAGGCCAGTTTCACCTTCCAGGTACCTTGTGAAAGAAGGAAGAGAGAATTCCAACACCTAACACCTCCATGACTTTTTGTTCAGTTGGAACCCGATGCCAAACATGGTACCCAGTAGAAATATAAAAATAGTGTTTGTTAAAGAATTGTACAATAGGCTAGGCGCGGTGGCTCACACCTGTAATCCCACCACTTTGGGAGGCCGAGGTGGGCAGATCACCTGAGGTCACGAGTTCGAGACCAGCCTGGCTAACATGGTGAAATCCCGTCTCTACTAAAAATACAAAATTAGGTGGGCATAGTGGAGGGTGTCTGTAATCCCAGCTACTTGGGAGGCTGAGGCAGGAGAATCGCTTGAACCTGGGAGGAGGAGGTTGCAGTGAGGTGAGATCGCCCCATTGCACTCCACCTTGGGTAACAAGAACAAAACTCCATCTCAAAAAAAAAGAGACTTGTAAAGTCCACTGCAGCTTTATTCACAATGTCCCAAAACCATGGTCCATCTGCAACAGAAGGAATGAATTACCCATACACCCAACCCAACATGGCTGGATCTCAAGACATCTGCTAAGTCAAAGATGCCAGAAACAAAATACCATACACTGTATGGCTTTGTTATATTAAATTATGGAAAAGACAAAATAATAACAACAGAGGGCAGATCAGAGGTTGTCAGGAACTGGAGGTAGGAAGGGGGCATCAACTCAAAGGGTACAAAGAGGGCCCTGGAAGCGATGGGAGCGCCCCATGTCTTGATGGTGGTGACCCAACTGCGTGCACTTGTCAAAACCCATCCAACTCTACATCTGAAACTCAGTCATCTGGTTGTATGGAAGCCTCATAAAGCTGACCGACATTTATATGTATTTGTTAAATGAATGTGGATGGAATGAAGCCAGCACTCTGCAATCTATACTTTACAAATGAAAAGTATGAGGCAGTGGGGATTAGGGTAGAGAAGTCTTACTAGTTGAAGAAATTTCAAAGTTAGCAAAATACCCTATTCTTAGGATCCAGAATATGTTCCTATGATGGATGACATTTTCTTGAAAATCTACAGAAGCCAGGCCTCTCCTTTACTCACTTTGTGACCTACTAGTTTGCAAAATACACACAGTGGCACAGGTGCTCACAGGGACAGCCCAATGACTCTACTCCAGTACAAACTATCCCTTATTCAGCTTAAGTTTCAATTTCCCCAAAAGGTTATCTCCAGCTTCTGCCATCTGCACTCATCTCTCTTCCTTCCTTGAAGTCCTAGAATAAGGCGTAAGTTACTCATCCCAGCACTTACTCTCCACTGAGAATTGTTTTACTATGAAATATTTTATAGAAAGTCAGTTATAAATACCATAAAGGAAGTAAGCAGACATACCACCCTGTCCTGTACCTCGATGCCTTTCAAGTCCCGTGTACCCCATGTCAATCCCAGCCTTTACAATCCAGTGTGAGAGTAACAGCTATAAATTCCATGGAGATCAATCTTTTCTTTTTCACTCGTCTTAGATTTGTCTGAATCCCTTACAACACTGTCAGGGTTGGGCTGTTCTGAGCTTGGCATACATGTACCACACGATACGCATTACTCTGCTTTTCTCCCAGTTTGGGATCTTCCCAGCGGATGCTGTCGGCAATGATGCCCTCAACTCCACCCTGTGGTGTGCATGGGCCATGCCCCCCAGGCTCCTCTCAAGGGACACAAGTGCAGTCATGACTTCACTCATTTCAAGCTCTGCACTGCCCTCTCCCTGCTCAGGGCTCCAGCCCACAAGAAATGGGCTTGCTGGGTTGGTGTGTACATACATCCCTCATTTAAACCTAATGCCAAAGTTCCATGCACAACAGCAAAGTACAAGAGGGTTCCCATCACTCCATGGGGCTGGCAGACCTCCCAATTTTTACAACCTGGCATTTATAACAACTTTCTGTTTCATTTGTTCTTTCACAATAAAAGGTTCCACTGAGTAGGATAATATTAGGAAGAAACTGCTGACTTTTGTTCCTGTAAAAATAATATATGGTTCAAGAAAAGGGTGACAACCTTATCTATGAGAGACAGGGTGAACTGTTTGTGAATGAAGGAACAGTGGTGTGGGATTTGTTTTGGCAAACTCCACAGTGGGGATGCAGTTTGAGTAGACAGAAGGCTGGCCAAGGCTGCACGGGGTCAAGAAGAACAGAAAGGCCAATTCCCGTTGCCCTCCACACATGGGCAGAGCTCCTAAGCCATCACCAAGGAGGAGGCATATCGTAGTGTCCTGCTCCATCCCAGCGCTACATGTCAGGGCAATTGGAAAACACCTGGACACACTTCTGCGCTCCATCCTGTTTAGGATATGGCAACATAAAAGGAGAGTGTGTCCCCTACAGGAATAAGCGATACATACACAGTGTCCCCATGGCCCAGCCGTCCGCCGTCCCCACAGCCCCAGGAGTACACCTCTCCAGTAGCAGCCAAGGCTAGGTAGTGGTGACCATCAGAATGGGCAGCAATTTTTACAATGTTTCTGGAGGCAAGGCCTTGGACCAGCTGTGGGGCCTAAAGAAGGAAAAATACGAAGAAAAGTAGTCATCAGTCCAAGGAAAATGAAACCAGCTCAGCTCTCCGTTATCATGTATCCCCAAGCAAAGCCTGCTGTAACTCCAAGTGGGGCATAAGTCTCTGGGAACTACGGGGCCGGCTCTCCAGCCCTTCCCACCCAGCAGCAACAGAACAGCGGGCAGCCTCCAAGTGCTCTGCAGCAAGACCAGAGCCGATGCAGGGGCAGGGCAGGCTAGCCCCATGCCACAGAGACACGCAGCCGACAGGGAGGAACACCTCGCTTTAATGAAAACATGCCACGTCCCAATTTGCCACTATCCCCACGAGGCCCAACTCCCTCACCTGTCACCTGTCTGGCCCCAACGTCAAATGAGTTTACACGTGGAAATGAGTTTACAAACGGGAATCTCACGATTAGCAATGAGTTTCACTGTAAGGACTTCCTAATCTTCACAACCCAAATCTTGACAATATTACAACTGAGATCATTAAACATAATATACAATAAACAGAACCTTGTCAATCTTCAGAAATCAAACGCCTTAAAGAAACACCAGAGCTTGTGCATCTGTAGGACAGACCCTGCCCCGCAAGGGAACACTGCAGGCACAGTGCCCAGAACACTCACCAGCGTGTCACTATTATAGGCCTGTGTGTACACGCGGCCATTGCGTGACAGAATCAGGAAACGCTTCTCTGCACAGGCAATCTGTGTGACTCCCAGGTTGGCCAGGCCTTCGCACTGGATTGGACCAATCACATTGGCATAGTATTTCCATCCTATTAACCCCCAACCTATGACCTCTTGCAATGATCCCTGTAAGATAAGAAAGTAAACATTTCCTTTAACAACAACAACAATAAAAAAAGGCTGGGAGTAACACTGAGCTACTACAAAATAAAAACAAAGCAAATAAAGAGAAAATATGCTGATTCAAAACATCAAAATAGCTCATACCAGCCTGTATTACCTCATTTAACAGGTAAGATGAAGCAACTGAACAGGTTATTTTTCCATTTCCATTGCATTTCATTTTAACAGAGCCCATTAAAAAGTACTATAAATGGCCCTTAAATACTAATATATTTTTAAATGCTCAAACTATATCAGGGTCACCATTTTGTGCTTTAGCAGGCAAAATCCCAAAAGCCCACACACAAGGCTGGGAGACCAGCATCCATGTTGGTGGTGAGAGAAATCAACTTGTACGGGAGCAATCTGGTGACAACCAGCCCACACTAGGTGCATCCCCACCTGTGCATGTGCACGGGCACACACACGTGCACACATGGAGGACACATGTTCCAGGTCAGGCCTTGCAGCACTATTTGTGTTTGTTTTTGTTGTTGTTGTTTGTTGAGATGGGGTTTCACGCTTGTTGCCCAGGCTGCAGTGCAATGGCGCGATCTTGGCTCACTGCAACCTCCGCCTCCCGGGTTCAAGTGATTCTCCTGCCTCAGCCTCCCAAGTAGCTGGGATTACAGGCATATGCCACCATGCCCAGCTAATTTTTGTATTTTTAAGTTGAGACAGGGTTTCTCCAAGTTGGCCAGGCTGGAGAACCCACTCTTTTTATTTATTTATAGATAGATAGATAGATAGAACCCACTCTTTTTATTTATTTATAGATAGATAGATAGATAGATAGACAGACAGACAGACATGTAATATAGATATATAATATATAATATATAACATATAATTATACTGTCACTACTATCACCAGCATTACATACTAAGACAGTCCGCGTTCAGAGTATGAAGAAGGCTGTGGAACCCCCTGCAGAAGGTGGGAGGGCCTGGGGCTGTGGATAAAGGGGAGCTCTCTGGGGCTGTGCCACCTGAACCTGGAACCCGGGCCCCCAGGTTGGGTCGCCAGGCCTGTGCGCCTCAGCTTGCTCATCACTCACTCTCAACACGGATAACACCTTCAACTGCAAACGCGTTTAAAAACCACAGGCCAGCTCCCCCTACCAATACCAGAAAAAGCAAGTCTCCACACGGGCCCAGGATGAGAACCTACAAGTGGTACTAGCTACAAAACACATGGAGAACACGGTTCTTGCACACACACCTTATGAGATGTCGGAGAGCTACACAGCGGAGGCATACAGGGCGTAGCCAGACGGTCTAAATGGGCCATGACAACAACCGCCGTTTGTCGCAGATCAATGGCAAGCTCGTTGTCTTGTGGAAGGGTGAGGTACCTCAGGAAACTCTCATTGGGGCTCAGAGGGCCAGACAAAAGCTAGAAAGGAAAAGTAAACAAAAATTCAGAAATGGTGGGAAAAATTAAAGTTAACACAATTAACCTTTATCCACGCTTTATATTTTGGTATTGACTCATTTGACCCATCAAATGACAATGTCAATGATACAGTTATACTATACATCTATATATTTATGCAGCATATAAACTGACTGTGTAAATGTCTAAATTTGCTGTACACGCATACACAACATTGACTGCGCATGTATACATTTATGATACCACAGGTAAGATGGATCCACACAGATTACTAACATGACCAAACCACCCTACAGGCCTAGGACCCCTGGAGAAAGGCAGAACCACCTCTGTGGGAACCCAGCACAGCATCTCAAGCTGGCCTTGAAATCTAAAACCAAAACCTTTATTTTAATCTAAACGTTGCCCACTCTGGAGAACACCTACTTTCATTTGCAAATTAAATCATAGTTCTAATTCTTCTAAAGGCAGAAGAGCCCTATTATCATTAGTTTAAAGACTGCCAAATAATAGGCTGGGCATGGTGGCTCACGCCTGTAATCCCAGCACTTTGGGAGGGCCAGGCAGGCGCAGGCGGATCACAAGGTCGAGAGATCGAGACCATCCTGGGTAACATGGTGAAACCCCATCTTTACTAAAAATACAAATATATTAGCTGGGCTTGGTGGTGGGCGCCTGTAGTCCCAGCTACTCGGGAGGCTGAGGCAGGACAATGGTGTGAACCCAGGAGGCCCAGCTTGCAGTGAGCCGAGATCACGCCACTGCACTCCAGCCTGGGCGACAGAGCAAGACTCCATCTAAGGAAAAAAAAAAGACTGCCAATAATAGAAAAATTAAACCAAAGCACGATATTGGAATGCCTAAGACTTTCCCAAAAAGACTGGCAAAATCCAACTTGTACTTGACATGTAAAGACCAGCAGTCCTGGAGGTTTAGGCCCAGGGCCCCGCACGCCTGCTCCTCCCTCAGCTTGTTGTCCACACCTGTTAAGGCGGGAGCTGGTACCAAACAGAGTGACAGCTCAGGTGACGTGCCCTGCACAGAGCCCAGTACATAGGAAGGACCAACAAAGCAGGCCGCTATTTTCGTTGTTCTTTTCTGGTATTTATTTAAAAGTGAATGTTTCAAGCTTGGTTTTGTGCTGACAAGGAAGTCAGTGCTCACTGATCCGAGTCTTCTCCACAAACAAGTGACCTCCCACACCTGTCTCATCTGACTCGCTGCTATTACCACCAAACACACACACGCCAGAGAAAAACACTGCCGTTGACATGCATGCTAGTCTTGCTTTAAAAGTAACTAGACTCGAGTGCCACCTAAACACAAAGTTCCATCATGACACTCACGTGCATGTCGCCCTCGGAGTGGGGTGCATCCTTCCTGCAAATGATGCTCTGGAACCTTTGCAGCAAGGGCAAAAGTGGGGCGCTGGTGCCCTGGGCGGAACGCTCATTGTCAGTCTCCTGTGCCCCGCTGTCCCACAGCTGAAGCAACAACAGGATGGCAGACAACATTTGGCTAAAGGAGAAAAGATATTTATTCTAGTAAAAACAGATTAACTTCTTTTCTTCACAGTTGATCAAAAATAAAAGCAAATAGCTGGATAGAAGTGAACAAATACTTGGGATTTGAAAGGAAACTAAACTAAAGCCGTGGTAATTAAATCACTGAATTGACACCAAGACTTTAGCACAAGACATCGCCTTCTGCTCATAAGAAAGACCAGTTAAGAAGCTCAAAGAGCACATTTACATGAAAGTTCTAGGATCTTAAATTCATGGAATAAAAATAAATAAATGAAGAAAACTGAAAGAAAAAAAAAAAGAACAGTTCCCAGGCTAGAACACTGAGCATAAAACAGGAAGTGAAGAAAAGGTAAAGAGAGAGAGCCCTGGGACATGGTTCTCCGTACAGAGTACCACATCTGCTGCGGTCACAAACGATTCAGTGAAACACACACAATGCAACAGGTATTTCCATACACAGGCGCTTCCCCAAAGCGTTCCCGTCTGCGGCAGCCCTCACCTCAGCGTGCCTCTCTGCACAGCCAGCTCCAGCAGGATGGCCAGGGCCAAGTGCTGGTCCTGCAGGGGGATGCTTCCTGGCCCTTTGGTGGCTGGCGTTCCGTGAACATCCCTGAAATGAAAGCAGTGGATGCAGGAACAAAGCAACCTCCAGAAAGACAGCATGCTTACAATCACACTAACACATTTACTACACGCTCCCTCCAAAGGAAGGATGTATTTTTAATATTTAGGATCAAGTTTCTGATACTTGCTACTCAAATTTATTCAGAGATTATAAGTGTACAATTAGCTTACACAACTATATTTTATTTAAAGTGTTCACTCAGATACTATATTACAGTAGATGACATACTCCATGTATATGAAGCATAAAATAATTTATCTCATTATCAAAAACATAAGTAGAAGAATATCTAGCTATCTTTTCCAGTTTCAATGACGTATAAGACTATACCAGTATCAGCATTTATCTACAGAATTAAAGAACCAATTTCTAAAACCACCTTAGAATCTGGAGGCAAAATGTCAACACTAATTTCTATCTCTGATCAATGAAATATTTTTAACTTTTCTATGTTACTCAATAATAAATTTTCTAAAATTCTATCCTAAGACTGCAGAGAAAGGATCTTATGGTATCAATATTACAGCTGAATTTGTGAAATCAACTCCAAGCCTATGCTCAGGGCCTCCAGCGTTAAAACTCTGTGGTGATGCCTTCACCAGCCGGCTCAGGAAGTGGACTCAGAGCCGGGGACGCAAACGCCAAAGGCCTCCTGCTGGCTGCAAGAAGGCACAGTGCTGACCTCTGCAAGGAGAGTGAGGAGTGGCCTCACTTTCCCTCTGCATCTGTCCTTCCTGTTGAATTTTATATTTTCTTTAAATTTAAAAACCTTAACAAAAATGCATAGCACCCAAGACCAGAGTTCATGTTTTTCTTACACACAAATGATTCCTATTCAAAATTTTTTACACTAAAAAGATCAGCTACAGGACTAAAGAATTTGATCTTGAGTAGTTGTTTACTCCCACATTATCTATAAGACTTCAAACCAAGCACCACTCCGCACTCAGAACAGCAGCTCCTAATCATCACAGAGAGACACACAGTGTAAGCACTCAAACCTCTACGAATGACTGATGGCCAAATCTCTAAGCATTCTCTCTCATCCGTCTCATTTAGTATCACAGCTTCCTGGGTCTAGTCAGAGTATCATAAATCAAATCGCCTGAAAAGCTGAGAACCCAGACCCGGAATCACAGCACTGACAGCCCGCTGAAAACAGGTGAAAAACCAACCTACTAGGCTTCTTAGCTCTAAAGCAAGGGTGGTAAGAACCAGCCTCAAGCAGGCCAGCTGTCTGCGTGCAGAAGGCAAGAAAGGAAAGAACTCACCCCGTCACGACGGACCTGAGGAACCTGGTCGCTCTCTCCACCACCTCCAGCCACACAGAGGACACGGTGCTCTCGTCAAAGAGCGAGGCCTCGGGAAGTGCTCGCAGGGCGTCCAGGGACTCCTGCAACAGCTCACTGCAGAGGTCCGCATCCTCGCCTGGGCGCACACACGCGTCAGAGGAGCCCCCCCACTCCCCTCACTCTCCCGCTGGGCTTCCCACCCCTCAGCGAGAGATGACGCCACTGTCACCTTTCCAATCCCTCACTCAACAGGCCAAAATCTAGCGCAGCTGCTCCAGTCAATTCTGTGTTTCACGGCTGTCACATGAGCAATACACTAACTTCTTGTCCTTCTAGAATTAAGTCTGTACTCAGGTGTTCCATGGTAGTGGTTGACGTGGGGGTGGGGGTGCATACACTCTCTTTTTTTTCTTTAAAGCACAGATGTGAAAAGCCAAACAGCCTCTGCAGCCTCTCATCTCACAAGCAAGGAAACTGAGGCACAGAGAGCACATGGGATCAGCCAAAGGGCACATGGTGGCTGAACCGAGTTCGAAACCCAGTCTGTTGATGTATTAGGGAAGCAGAACAACGCGCCACACCAGGGACCGTACCTGATCGCCAGGCCCTGCGCAGGAAGGCAAAGGCAAAAGACAGCGCCGCTCGGGATCCCACTCTGGCGAGCCCCTCCACACCTTTGCCCGCAGGCCGGGAACTGCAGACGACACACACGGAACATACAACCAGTCAGCAGCAGAGGGTGCAGATACTACATAAAATCAATACTATGAAAGGGTGTGTACCAAAATCCGACCAATGGTTTTCTTCAAGTGACAGGATCACAAGTGGATTTTTCGTTTTGTTGTTTAACAACTTTCATCAAATGTCTTTTGTAAAGGAAAAGTTTTCTCTTTAAGAATCAAAGAAATGTATAAGGAATTTTAAATGTCTTGGGAAAATGCTCAAGAAATGACCTCCCAAAGTGAGATTCTACTGGGAGGAAGCAGACGATAAGGAGATAAATACATAAACGGAGGGAGAATAAACCCCACATGGGAGACCAGGCCGGAGAAGAGCTGGAAGAAGAGCAGCAGAGCCGCAGAGGGTAGCCTGGCTCGCCCCAGCTCCGGCGTCCTCCACTCGAGGTCTGCTCCTGGCCGCGGGTGAAGCCCTGCGTGCTTGACCCACCCTATGGGGCATTGCCCTCTTCTGACGGTGGTGCTCATCACCCTCCTGTGTCTATTTAAGCTTTTCACTACTTGTGTATGTTAATTTCACAAGTCACAGTTTCATTCTGCATGTTCTAAAAGGTTATGCATATGGTACACCATAAAAATCATCCTGTACAAGAGAGAAAAGGCTAGAATACAAAAATGCATATATAGGGGAGGCTGAGGCAGGAGAATGGTGTGAACCTGGGGGGTGCAGCTTGCAGTGAGCCAAGATCGCGCCACTGCACTCCAGCCTGCGAGACAGAGCAAGACTCCATCTCAAAAAAAATAAAATAAAATAAAATAAAAATGCATATATAATCTCAACTCAATCATGCACAGCAAGTAATTGTATGTTATACTTTATACTATATCATGTTTCTAATATTACAGTATTGCTACTATAAACTATATTCTCCAAATTTACTAAAATTTGCTTTCATGATCAGGGGAAATCCTATAAAAACAGGTGATACAGAGTTCAAGACCAGCCTGGCCAATATGACGAAACCCTGTCTCCACTAAAAATACAAAAATTAGCCAGGTGTGGTGACGGGTGCCTGTAGTCCCAGCTACTCGGAGGCTGAGGCAGGACAATCACTTAAACCTGGGAGACAAAGGTTGCAGTGAGCCAAGATCGCACCTCTGCACTCCAGCCTGGGAGGCAGAGCAAGACTCCATCTCAAAAAACAAAAAAAAAAAAAAAAAAAAAAAAGAGGGTTGTTATAGAAGGATCTCCCCAAGATACAATATGTAATAAAAATGGCAATGAAGAACACGGCTGGCCAGGGGCAACAGTACACGCTTATCCACAAGTGCCTGAATAATGCACCGGGAGCTCAGAGAGGAAACACAAGAACCTCTGAGAAGGGCACTGGGTACCTGGAAGATGGAAATCTTTGCTCCTAAATGAGAAATACGAACATGACAAGACACAGACATGTAACAGGACACACAGTCCTTACAAGAGAAAGCACATGGGCCAAGTGTGGTCAGAGGAGGTGGGCCAGTCACTTTAGGTCAGGAGTTTGAGACCAGCTTGGCCAACATGGCAAAACCCCATCTCTACTAAAAATACAAAAATTAGCCGGGTGTGGTGGTGCATGCCTATAGTCCCAGCTATATGGGAGGCTGAGGCAGAATTGCTTGAACCTGGGAGGCAGAGGTTGCAGTAAGCCAAGATCGCACCACTGCATTCCAGCCTGGCCTGGGCGACAAAGCGAGACTCTGTCTCAAAAAAAAAACAAAAACAAAAACAAAAAAAAACTACTCAGCCATAATAAAATAATGATACATGCAATGACCCCTTTGGGAAAATGTTAAGGGGATTGTGCTGAGTGAAAAAAGTCAATATTGCTTGAGGCCAGGAGTTCCAGACAAGCCTGGGAAACACAACAAGACCCCAGTCTCTACAAATACAAAATGAGCTGGGTGTGGTGTCATGCATCTGTAGTCCCAGCTACTCAGGAAGCTGAAATGAGGTGACTGCTTGAGTCCAGGAGTTTGAGGCTGCAGTGAGCTATGATTATATCACTGCACTCCAGCTTGTGGGCATCAGGGTGAGACCCTGTCTCCAAAAATTATAATAATAACAATAATAAAAAATTTAAAAGCCAATGTCAAAAAATCACATAATAGGCACACAGAACAGATGAGTGGTTGCCAGCAGTTAAGGTGGGGAGAGAAGACGTGAATGTGGGTATAAAGGGCCCTTGTCCATGTACCAATTGCAGTGGTGGTCTCAGAAAATCCACACCTGAAAAAATTGCAAAGAAATACACACACAATTGAGAGCATGTAAAACTGGGAAAATCTGAATAAGATAGGCAGGCTATCAAAATTAACACCCTCGTTGTGATGACTGTGTCACAGTTTGCAACTGCCATTGAGGGCAACGGGACGAACAGTACAAGGAATCTCTATACTGGTTCTTACAACTGTATGTGAATCCACAATTATCTAAAAAAAAAAAAAAAAGGGGCTTTTTTAAAATTTTAGGAATTCTTCCACTTAATGAAAGATACATTCCAATTAATTCACCAACCCTAAGTCATCACAAAGGAAACAGCAGAGAAAAATCAGCTGGGCTCTCAGCCATTTCTGCAGCTGAGGGAATTCAGTTTGATTCGACAAACACACAACAGTGCTTGGACAATCTTAGCACCTACCGCCGACCCGTACATAACACTGATTCATGACCATCACAGCCGGTTAGGAAGGAAGAAAGAACCATGGCACTCCTATTACCAAATGGGTAGGAATCTCATCTGTCTCTTGGTTTAATTTACCCTAAAACTATTTTCAAAAATACAACATGTACAGTCGTCCCTTGGTATCTGTAGGGGATTGGTACCAGGCTTGCCCCACCCTGGCTCCATACCAAAACCCTAGGATGCTCAAGTCCCTGATATAAAATGGTGTAGTATTTGCATATAACCTGTGCACATCCTCCAGTATAATTTAAATCATCTCAGCCAGGCACAGTGGCTCACACCTATAATCCCAACCCTTTGGGAGGTCAAGGCGAGAGGGTTGCTTGAGCCCAGGGGTTCAAGACCAGCCCGGGCAACATGGCAAAACCCAATCTATACAAATTAAAAAAAAAAAAAAATTGGCCAGGTATGGTGGCTCATGCTTGTAATCCCAGCACTTTGGGAGGCCAAGGCAGGCAGATCACTCGAGGCCAGCCTGGGCAACACAGTGAGACCTCAGCTCTACAAAAAATACAAAAATTAGCTAGGCATTGTGGCACACGCCTGCAGTCCCAGCTACTTGGGAGGCTGAGGTGGGAGAATCACTTGAGCCCAGGAGGTCAAAGCTGCAGGAAGCCATGATGGCCCCACTGCCCTGGGCAACAGTGAGACCCCCATGTCAAAACAAACAAACAAAAAAAAATCATCTCTAGATTACTATAACACCCAATACAAGGTAAATGCTCTGGAATTAGATGTTATATTGTATTGTTTTTTCTTTGTATTTTTTTATTGTTGTGTTGTTTTTTATTGCTTTTCTTCCAATATTTTCGATCCATAGTTGGTTGAATCTGTGGATGTGAAACCCACAGACACAGAGAGCCAACTGTAATGTGATTTCAACTATATTTAAACATAAGGAAACAAAAAAGGAAAACAAACACAAAAATTAAAACATAAGAAAACAAGGAAACAAGCTACAAGTACCGCTCCTGTCTCTGGGGAGCAAGACGATCAGGGTTTTGCTCTTGTTTCTTTCTGCCTCCCGTACCTTCTATGTGCTCTCTCCAGGGAGTCAAAGTCACTATCACAGTCAAATAAAGCCAGCACTCCTAACACAAAATATAAGTTTCATCTGGCAGTCTTGTAGTTTAACCTTCTGAGGACAAAAGTCTGATAGCTTCATTTTGGAAAAGTACAAATTTACATAAGCCTTAAACATTCTAGTGGCTGTTAGCAAATAGTGGAAATCTGTGATACATTAACAGGCATCAACAAATTAAAACTCATATGCCCAAAAGCATCTCTTTTTTTTGCTTCTTTTTGAGACAGAATTTCATTCTTGTTGCCCAGGCTGGCACAATCTCCGCTCACCGCAACCTCCACCTCCCGGGATCAAGCAATTCTCCTGCCTCAGTCTCCCAAGTAGCTGGGATTACAGGCATGAGCCACCAAGCCCCGGCTAATTTTTTTATTTTTAGTAGAGATGGGGTTTCTCCATGTTGGTCAGATCTCCAACTCCCGACCTGAGGTGATCCGCCCACCTCAGGCCTCCCAAAGTGCTGGGATTACAGGCGTGAGCCACCACACCCAGCCCAAAAGCAACTCTTGTAATAAAAGAATAAGAAAATCACATTAGGAAGGAAAAACATGAAGCATCTAAACTAGTTGGGCATTAAACATTACAATCTATCTCCTACCCAGCAGCAAAACAAAATAAAACGTATACAACGTTCAGAACTCATTTTCCAATTTATACTTGAGCTGATCTAAAGCTGTGGCTGGCTTCCACAGTTACTGACAGAAAAATGTCTTTACAATAATGACACAGAGCCAGGCGCAGTGTCTCATGCCTGTAATCCCAGTACTCTGAGAGGCTGAAGCAGGAAGATTACTTGAGGCCAGGAGCAAGACCCCATCTCCACACACACACACACACACACACACACACACACACAAATTGTTTTTATTTAGCCAGGCATGGTGGCATGTGCCTGTAGTCCCAGCTACTCAGGTGGCTGAGGCGGGAGGATCACTAGAGCCCTGGAGTTCAAGGTTACAATGAGCTATGATTACACCACTGCACCCCAGCCTGGGTGACAGAGCAAGACATTGTCTCTCCAAAAAAAAGAAAAGAAAAATTTTATTGAATAAAATAAAATAATGGCACAGATTACACAGCATGGTCTATTACTACATGAGCAAATTGGCAAATCCATTCTCCAGATTATACAAAACATACAAAAAGGGAAAGCAAGAATAAATTTCAGAAGGTGAAGACAGCCTATATTGAAAACCTTAAACTTTCTGAAACAAAACAGTCTGAATTTTATATTTAACTGGCATCAGGATTCTTTCTTCGCTTTATTGTTACCTTTTTTTGTCCACAGGAGGCAGAGAAATACCGCTGCTTTTCCACTTAACTTTGACATTCTCCTGAAAAACGGTTCTATTCAAGGCAATGAAATAGCGCTCCAAGATCACCAGCCTCTGCTTGAGTCGCAGGGCTGAGAGGGTGGTGGTGGCTGACTGGACGGCCAGGGCCTGCTGCTCTTTAACCAGCACAGAAAGACACTCCTTCAGTTCATTCACATCTAGAAAATAAGACAAGAAAACATCTCACCTGTGGACAATGTGGCCACAGTTTGTTGCAATGTTGAGAAAATGGATGATGACGACAGGTAGTACTCGAAGGCATGATATGTGGCAATAATGGTTTTAACCACTTTACACACATGAGCTCAGGCAACCCTCACACCCAGCACTGTCAAGCAGTGCTGTCCATCCATTTTATGGATGAAGAAACTGAGGCACCAAGTGGTTAAGCAACTTGTCCGAGGCCACACAGAGGAGTGCGGCACATGACAGAGACTCTTGAGCCACCATGGCACACTGCCTCTCTCTATGGAAACATCATACAAAAGAAGTTGGCCGGGCACAGTGGCTCACACCTGGAATCCCAGCACTTTGGGAGGCCAAGGCAGGTGGATCACTTGAGGTCAGGAGTTCGAGACCAGCCTGGCCAACATGGTGAAACCCCTTCTCTACTAAAAAAAAAATACAAAAATTAGCCGAGTGTGGTGACGCACGCCTGGAATTCCAGCTACTCAGGAGGCTGAGGCACGAGAATTGCCTGAACCCAGGAGGAGGAGGTTGCAGTGAGCTGAGATTTTGTCACTGCACTCCAGCCTGGGTGACAGAGTGAGACTCTGTCTCCCAAAAAAAAAAGTTACTAACACAGAACTTTGAAGTCAATATTAGTCAATATTTATCAGCAGCACATCTCCTAAACAGAGAAAAACACTAGCCATTATTTTCATGTTACAAAACCAAATTCAATATAAAAACGATGTCTTGATAAAATTACCCAGCATGCATGACTCATGAAGCACATTTATGGACATATTTTAGAGGAAGATAAAGTAACAAGTTAGAATACACATTCTAACTAGTGAGTAAGTGATATTTCATTATATTATTCTCTCTTCTTCTATGTATCTTTGAAAATTTCCATACTAACAAGTGTTTTGTAAGTAGCTAGAAGGCAATCACAGGACTGAAAATAATTCAAAGGATTCTGGTCTTTCAATTAAGCATGTGTCTGCCTCAGAGCACAGATCATTATAAGGGAATTGTAAGTTACCTCCCACCAATCCCCTCTAACAGCACAGCTCCCAGTGGCGAGGTGAGAGCTGGTCTCTTTTGTGCTTGCCTCTCTGCTGCTTACTAGCCTGGAGGCCAGCAGCCACCAGCCTCGCAGCCCTGGATCCTCACAGGTAATAGCAACACCCCTACTGGCTGCCTCCCCTTGTGCAGAAGACATCAGTTTTCTGGCTACCCACTACCTGGATATGCTCTCCACGGGACAGGAGGGCCTTAGAAGGCAGTAGAGAGAAACATCTCACCACTCCCTGGAAAGGCACAGGGTGGCGCACACTGTGCCCAGCACCAGCAGTAGGATGTGAGACCTGGAGCTTTGCAGCTAAGAGCTAATAGTTATTTAAAACGACATGAAGAATACTGAATTGCACACTGGGCTCAAGATGGAGAAGTGAAAGACTGAAAGGTAAAGCAGTGCCCCTGCCCTTCTCAGGGCATCCCCACCGAGCCACCCTTCAGGCAAGGAGCTGGCCCAGCACTTCAAGGGCTAAGCCCTTCCTGAAGAGTCACTGCATTTGCCGCTTTTAAATAATACATCTCCCTTCTGCTTGGCTGCAGAGCCCAGAAACAACCCCAAAGCTCCAAGAGGGCAGCTCTGCCCTTGAGCACCCACGTGCCCTTCTCCCTGACACCCTCCTGCTTATTCCGTCGCAATCCTGACTGCCCAGTCCATCAGTCATGTACACTCTGAAACAGTGGGTGAGAAAATACACAAACCATGGACACCACTGGGGAGTCAGAACTCCTACCCCTGCCTCACAGTAACCAGGGGCCTCTAGGCAAAGTGGGAAGCCTGGACTTCGTCTCCAGCTGCCAGCGATGAGGTGAAGCACGCCCTATCCCTGCCAGAGCAGGGTCACAGAAAGATTTAACCACTTACACAGAAGATTTAAGTAAGACCTAGAGTCGCCTAACAACATGTTCTATTGAGAAAGTCACTCATGATACCAAGAACCAGGAAGATCTAAAACCAAATTTTAAACAGTTATAGAAATACCACGATGAAAGATGTTGGAATAATGTGGCAAATAATTAAAAACGGTCACGATAAAAAGGCTTCAACAAGCAATTACAAACACATGTGAAATAAATGAAAAAATAGAAAGCCTAAGACAAGAAAAGGAAGACAAAAAAAAGAAACCAAATAGAAAGTTTAGAACTGAAAAATACAATAACCAAAATAAAAAGCTCAGTGAATGGACACAGCAGTAGAATGGAGGAAAAAGGGCAAAGAATCAGTGACATAGAAGATAGAAGTTATCCAATGTGAATAACACAGAAGAAATACATGCCCCCAAGGCAGGGCACGGTGGCTCACAGCTGTAATCCCAGCACTTTCGGAGGCCGAGGCAGGCGGATCACAAGGTCAGGAGTTTGAGACCAGCCTGGCCAACATGGTGAAACCTCATCTCTATTAAAAATACAAAACTGAGCTGGGCATGGTGGCGGGCACCTATAATCCCAGCTACTCGAGAGGCTGAGACAGAAGAATCATTCGAACTAGGGAGGCGGCGGTTGCAGTGAGCCGAGAACGTCCATTGCACTCCAGCCTGGGAAACAGGGAGAGACTCCGAAGATGGGAAGGGACGGGAAGGGATGGGAAGGGACAGGAAGGGATGGGACGGGACGGGACTGGATGGGACGGGATGGGAAGGGAAGAGAGAAAGAAATGTCCCAGCAAAAAAAAAAAAAAAAAAAAAAAAAACCAGTCTTGGGGACCTATGGGACTATAACAACTCCAGTCACTGAACTCACGAAGGGACAGGAGAAAGAAGGTGGGGTTGAAACTGTACTCTACGAAGTGATGGCTTAAAAGTTCCCAAATTTGGCAAGAGACATAAATCTACAGATCTTAGGTAAGCAAACCCTAAACAGGATGAACCCAAAGAAATCCAAACTAAGACATACAATAATCAAACTCCAAAAAACAAAAGACAAAACATTTCAAAAGCCACTAAACAAAAACTGCCTTAACTATCGTGCATTAACAAGTCAAATGACAGCGAATTTCTCATCAGAAACCATGGAGCCCAGCTGAAAGTACAAAATATTTTTTAAACAATGAAAAGAACCATTAACCCAGAATTCTTATATCCAGCAAAAATGTCCTTCAGGAATGAAAAGGAAAGCAAAACATTCTCAGAGGAAGTGAAACAGAATTTGTCACCAGAAGACCCACACCAAAAGAAAGGCTAATGGAAGTTCTCTAAGCAGAATGGCAACCATCAAAGAAAACCCTGGAACTTCTGGAAGGAGGAGATGACAAGCACACCAACGCATAAATACAATAGACTTTTCCCTCACCTCTTGACTTTGCTAAATTACGTCTGAAGGTTCAACCAAAAATTATAACATTGTCATATGTGGTTATCAATGTAAGTAAATGAAATATTTAAGGCAAGTATGTTATGAACAGGAGAACATAAAGGAACGTCAAGGGAGGTAGTTTCTATATCCCTGAAGCTGGTAAATGACAACACCAGGTACAATCTGATAAGTGTTCATATATACACAGGTTGAGTGTCCCTTATAAAATGCTCAGGAGCACAAGTGTTCCAAATTTCAGATTTGTATCAGATTTAGGAATATCTGCATATAAATAATGAGATATTTTGGGGATAGGACCCAAGTCTAAATACATTCATTTATGTTTTATATATAACTTATACACAGAGCCTGAAGGTAATTTTATACAGCATGCTTAATAATTTTGTGCATGAAACAAAGTTCGTGCTAAGTACTTATGAATGGAATTTTCAATTTGGGGGCATCATGCTGGAGTGCCAAAAAGTTTCAAATTTTGGGGCATTTCAGATTTTGGATTTTGGGTTTAGAGATGCTCAATCTGTATGTAACATATTACCTAGAAAAGCCACTAAAGAAGCTATACAAAAAGATACACTCTAAAACACTACAGATAAAATAGAATGCTAAAAATGGTCAAGTAAACCACAGAGAGCCAGGAAGAACCAAACCGAAAAAATGAAAAACAGAAGAAATAGAAAATACAAAACAAAATGGCAGTGTTAAGCCTCAGTTTACTAATAATGACATTAAATTAAATGTAAACAGTCTAAATGCATCAATTAAAAGACACCAGGAGAGCAGACTAGAGAACATGATCCAACTATATGTTGTCCATAAGAAAGTGACTTCAAACAGGCAAACTGAAAATAGAAGTATAGAAAAAAAAAAAGATCATGCAAACATTACTGAAAGGACAGCAGAAGTTGGCTACATTTATATCAAATAAAGTAAACTTCAGAGCAAAGATAATTACCAGGAAGGCCGGGCACAGTGGCTCACGCCTGTAATCCTAGCACTTTGGGAGGCCAAGGTGGGTGGATCTCAGGAGTCTGAGACCAGCCTGGCCAACATGGCAAAACCCCATCTCTACTAAAAATACAAAAAGTAGCTAGGTGTGATGGCAGATGCCTATAATCCCAGCTACTCAGGAGGCTGAGGCAGGAGAATCACTTGAACCCGGTGGGGTTGGAGGTTGCAGTGAGCTGAGATCGTGCCACTTCACTCCTGCCTGGGCAAAAGGAGCGAAACTCCGTCTCGGAAAAAAAAAAAAAAAAAAAAAAAAAAAAAAAGATAATTACCAGGAACAGATGGCAACATTACAAAATGAGAACTTGGTCAATCCACCATTAAGACGCAGCAATTCAAAACGTGCATATACCAAACAAACAAAGAAACAATGAATAGAACTGAAAGGAGAAAAAGACATTTATACTTTTATAGTTGGAGACCTCAAAGTCTCTCTCTACAGCTGATAAAATTAGAAGACAGAAAAGCTGCCAAGATATAGAATTCAACATCACCATCAATCAACTGGATCCAATCAAAATTTACAGAACACTCCAGCCAATAACAGCAGAATACATAATCTGTTCAAGCATCCACAAAACAAATACTAAGTTAGAACATATTCTGAGGCATAAAACAAACCTAACAAATTTTTTGAAATTAAAATCACACAGCATATGTTCCCTCAAACAATGGAAACAAATTAGAAGTCAACAAGAGAACAATTACAGGAAAATTGCCTAACTCTCAGAAACTAAACAATAAACTTCTAAATAATCCATGGATCAAAGAGGAAGTCTCAAGGGAAATTTTAAAATATATTCTGAACTGAGAGAAAATGCAAGTACAATACATCAAAATGCATGGGAAAGAGCTACAGTGGGTGATGAGAAATTTACAGCACTAAATAAATGATATATTAGAAACTTGGAAACAAATCAATAATATAAGTGCCCGCCTCGACAACCTAAAAGAAAAAAAAAATAGCAAAATCAACCCAAAAGTAAGCAGAAAAGAAGAAATAATTAAGGAAAGAGTAGAAACAAAGTGAAAACAGAAAACCAATAAACAGTAAAGCAAAAAGCTGGTTCTTTGATAAGATCAATAAAACTGACAAACCTCTCTAAGCATGACTGACAAAAAAAAAAAAAAAAGACATAAATTACCAACATTAGTGATGAAACGGACTCTAAAGATACCAAAAAAGATAATTAGGAATTACTAGGAACAACTCTACACATGTAACTTTGACAACTTGGGCAAAATGGACTTATTCCTCAAATAATACAAATTACCACAACTCACCAAATATAAAATAGATCATTTGAATAGCCCTACCACTATCAAGAAAACTGAATTCATAATTCAAAGAATCCGAAAAAAAAGAAATTACCAGACCCAAATGAACTCACTGGATAATTCCATCAAACATTAAAAAAGAATTAACACGGACTCAAAACAATCTCTTCTGGAAACTAGAAGAGGAAAAACTTCCCAATTCATTTTAAGAAGCTACTATTAAGAAGCTAATATTAGAAGCTAATATTAAGAAGCTAATATTAGAAGCTAATAGAAGCTAATATTAAGAAGCTAATATTAGAAGCTAATATTAACATTTTAAGAAGCTAATATTAGGTACTGTACCTAAAGACAGTACAAAGTACAGAACAATATATATACAGAGACACAAAAATATACAGCGAATTATTAGCAAGTAGAATTAAACAATATATAAAAAGAATTCCACATCATTGCCAAGTAGTTTCATTCCAGGAATGTAAAGTGGGTTCAACAGTCAAAAATCAATGTAACCCACCCTATTAATAGGCTAAAGAACAAAAATCACATAATTACATATCAATTGATTTAGAAAAAGCAAATGACAAAATTCAATACTCATGAATGATAAAAATTCTCAGAAAATAGCAACAAACGGGAACTTCATCATCTTGATAAACAGCATTTACAACACCTTAAGCTAAAACCTATGCCAAAAACAATGTCAGAAAGGGTCCTCCCAGACCTATTTACACGGCAGAGAGAATCATTAAGAATGATTTAGATAGTTACTAAGAGTTTACTCCCCTAAAAGATTACAACACCCAATGGCCAGCAAGCCCTTTTCATTAGACAAAAAGAAAAGCTGTGATCTGTCAACACTCTCAGAAGGTTCACTGTGAAATGTGCACTTCTGAACTCCTGCTGAGGGCCTACACGCTGCAATGTTGAGAAGCAAGTGTCCAGAGGTCTCCTTGGAAACATTGCAAAAAAAATGTGAGGGACTGATGGATGAATAGAGGGACAAAAAAGTGGAGAGAGCGGTGATAAAGCACGTGGGATAATGCCAGCGGCACAGTCTCAGGTGGTGAATATGTGGGTGCGCGCTGTAAAATTCTTTCAACTTTTCTGTATAATTTTTTTCATAATAAAACGTTGGAAAAAAATAAACCTGTGAAAAAGGAAGCTTTAGTCAAACATATCTAAGCAAAAGAAAAAACAAATTCTAAATTCCTATGGCTCAAATTAATGTGTTTTTCTTTTTAGGCTGAGATGGAAGAGCAAAAAAACAGAAAAAGAAATGAAAGGAATAGGAGCTATTCTAACAGCTACAAATTCCACCTGCAGTTTGATTAAAGATGGAGTGGCTCAAGAATATGCTTTGAATCCAAGCCCCTTCAAGGCTGCCAGGTAGAGAGTCGGTTCTGCGAAAGCTCTGTACCTGTGAGCAAGCAGAGCTTCCAAGTAAACCCTCTTCATTAAAGCCACCCTGAGTCAATAAGCTGGGCTTTAATCTGAGCAAGAAAGGTGTATTTCGGGTCTAGTTACCCACCCATAACTGTAGGTACTTTGATACCTAGGTGAGGGGAAACAAGGAGAAAGGCAAAACAACAGATTTTTAAAATCACAACAAATCTTTATCAAACATTTGTGCCAGGCACTGACTTAGGAGCTTCAAATGCATTACTTCATGTCAGTTGCACAGCAACTCTCTAAGTACTTTCACTTATTTTATATATAATTTTAATTATTTACATTATATTATACTTATTCCTCTTTTTTTTTTTTTTTTTTTGTTTTGAGATGGAGTCTCACCCTGTCACCCAGGCTAGAGTGGTGGTGCAATCTTGGCTTACTGCAAGCTCCGCCTCCTGGGTTCACGCCATTCTCCTGCCTGAGCTTCCCGAGTAGCTGGGACTACAGGTGCCCACCACCACGCCCAGCTAATTTTTTTGTATCTTTAGTAGAGACGCTGTTTCACCGTGTTAGCCAGCATGGTCTCGATCTCCTGACATCATGATCCACCCACCTCAGCCTCCCAAAGTGCTGGGATTAGGCGTGAGCCACTGCTCCCAGCCACTTATTCCTACTTTATACATGAGAGGCCCAAGGTGAGACAAAGTGATTTGTGTAGAGTCAGAGATAAAGCCAAAATTGATACCCAGACAGACTGAAAAACTTCTCTGTCAGAAGATCTAGAAACGGTAAAGGGAGATCTTCAAACTGAAGGAAAACGATAACACAAGGCAGCTGGGACAGAAACAAAACCTTAAGGGCCCATAATGGTAAAATGTAAGTTAACATAAAAAACTTTTTTCTGGCCAGCCATGGTGGCTCTTTGGGAGGCCGAGGTGGGTGGATCACCTGAGGTCAGGAGTTCGAAACCAGCCTGACCAACATGACGAAACCATGTCTCTACTCAAAAATACAAAATTAGCCAGGTGTGGTGGCGTATGCCTGTAATCCCAGCTACTCCGGAGGCTGAGCCAGAATCGTTTGAACCCAGGAGGCAGAGGCTGCAGTGAGCCAAGATCATGCCATTGCACTCCATCCTGGCAGCCTGGGCAACAAGACCAAAACTCCGACTCAAAAAAAAAAAAAAAAAGAGGCCAGGTGTGGTGGCTCACACCTATAATCCTATAATCCCAGCACTTAAGGGTGGCTGAGGCACGTGGATCACCTAAGGTCAGGAGTTCAAGGCGAGCCTGGCAAACACAGTGAAACCCTGTCTCTACTAAAAATACAAAAACATTAGCCAGGCACGGTGGTGCCTGCCTGTAATCCCAGCTACTAGGGAGGCTGAGGCAGGAGACTCGCTTGAACCCACGTGGGGGAGGTTGCAGTGAGCTGAGATTGTGCCATTACACTCCAGTCTGGGCAACAACAGCAAAACTCCATCTCAAAAAAAAAAAAAAAAGACTTTTTTTTCTCTTTTCAAATTTGAGGGGAAAAAATGTAATTGCCTATTTAAAGCAAAAACAAAAACATCATATTGTGGGGTTTATACCATGTTTCACTTGGACATGACACAGCAACACTGCCAACCAAGAACATGTCAGAAGCAGGAAGCTACAGTCAGAGCACTGCCCCGCAGCTCAGGCAGTGTAATACCATTTGAGAGTGGGCAGTGACAAGTGAAAGATGTAACTGAAAACGCCAGAGATGATAGATTTAAACCCAAGTAGTCTAAAGATTCCAAATAAAAAACAGAGGTTGCCAGGGTGAATAAAGAAGCAAGACCTAATTATATGATACCTGAAAGAAATGCACTTTACACATACACAAAGTTTGAAAGTGAAAAAAGCTAAACCTGGCAAACACACCACGCAAACACCAAATCAGAAGAAAGGAGAGTAGTCAGACCAAGGTGACTTCACAACAAAGAATGTCACCGGAGATTAAGGGGGTCAAATTTATGAATATGGCGTAAAAATCCTAAAAGTGCATGCACCCTATAACATTCTCAAATACATGAAGCAAAACCTGCAGAGCTGAGAGAAAATAATCCATAATTAGCATGAGAGATTTCAATCCTCCTCAGAAGAAAGAGGAACTAAGCAGTGAAACTGCTCTTCATGCCTCCCCAGCACGATGGAGATACTCCTGGGAAATAAAGCCAGTCGCTGGAGCTGATCTCCCCAGAACGCTGAGACTGGCTTCTCTATAAATAAATGACTGGTATTCGCTAAGAGAAGTGTCCTTATCTATGAAATGTTTTTAGCAAGATGTGGTTAGTTTAGGATTGTGTTTGGTAAACATACCTAAAATCCATGGACTTACGGGACATGGCTCCCTGGAAAACGTTCCCTAAGGTGTATAAACTATCTGACTACAAAAGGGAAACACTGCACATCCTTAATGCTCCTTGTGCAGTGAGAGGACGACACACCTCAGTGAGAGGATGACACGCCGCAGTGAAAGGACGACACATCTGAGAGGAAGACACACCTCAGTGAGAGGACTACACACCTCAGTGAGAGGATTACACACCTAAGTGAGAGGACCACACACCTCAGTGAGAGGACAACACACCTCAGTGAGAGGTCTCATCTCTCAGGCGGGGTTCAAAGAGGACGGACCTGCAGGAGTTGCACAGACTCTCCCACATCTCTCCCCACTTTGCCTGAGCACACAAGTGAGGATATAACTTGTATCTTTAAAGTTACTAAATACTCAGGTACGGGTAAGATCTCTGAGATTCATGTCAAACTAATGCAGTAAGCCAACCTTGTGTGTTAGTTCAACTCCTCTCCTAACAGTGAATAGAACAAGTAGGCAGAAAATTATTTCAAGTCAAGGATACCTGAACACTATCAACTTGATCTCATTAAGCTTTACAGAGCAGCAAAACACACTTTTTTTTTTTGAGATGTAGTCTCGCTTTGTCACCCAGACTAAAGTGCAGGGGTGCAATCAAGATTACAGGCACCCACCACCACACCCAGCTAATTTTTGTATGTTTCATAGAGACAGGGTTTCACCATGTTGGCCAGGCTGGTCTCAAACTCCTGACCTCAAGTAATCCACCCACCTCAGCCTCCCAAAGTGTTGGGATTACAGGCATGAGCCACCACACACAGCCACATTCTTATTATGTGTGCATGAAACATTCCACAGAATACACCATATTCTGGGGCTTCAGACAAGCCTCAACATTGAAATCACAGAATATGTTCTCTGACTACAACTAATTTAGAAATTAACAGGAGATATTTGAAAATCCCCAAATACTTGGAAATGAAATAACAATTTCCAAATAATAAGCGGGTAAAAGAAGAAATTAAAAGGGAAATTAGAAAATATTTTCAACTGAATGAAGATGAAAATGAATAAACATTTCCAAATTTGTGAAATGTGGCTAAACAATGCTTAGAGGGAAATTTATATTATAGTTTTGAACACTTGTTAGAAAAGACAAAAAATCTAAAGTCAATGATCTAAGCCTTTGCCTTAAGAAACTAGGAAAGACAGAAGAGCAAATGGAACCCAAAGCCAGCAGAAAAAAGGAAATAATAAAGAGTAAAGCAGAAATCAATGAAAAAGAAAACAAAATCAATAAAACCAACAACTGGTTCTTTGAAAAAACTCAAATTGATAACTTCTGGGAAGACTGATCCAAACGGAAAGAGAGAAAATACAAGGCACATTTCAGCACATTTCTGGATAACAGGTAGTACATGCTGGTACTTACTACATGCAAGATAATAGCATACGCACTTTGTCTGGCCTACTGTGCTGATCCTATAATAACCTACGAGGTAGGTACTACTATTAACCCCAAATACGAATTTTTTTTTAAGAAACAGAGACCCTGTCACCCAGGCTGGAGTGTAGAGGCACAATCATAGATCACTGCAGCCGCAAACTGCTGGCCTCAAGCAATTCTCTCACCTCAGCATCCCAAAGTGCTGGGATTACAGGCGTGAGATACCATGGCAGGCGTCACAAATTATTTTTATATATGTACATTTACATATGTATGTCCATGCAAGGAAAAAAAACCCTGAATATCCACACCGAAGGGATAATAGTGGCTAACTCTTAGAGGAAAGCTGAAACTGGGGTGGGCAGTCAGGTGAAATTTCTGCTTTTATAATCTATACATTTTTATAAGAAATATTCTATGTATATTTTTAATTGGAATGAAAATGCATTAGACATTTAAAAAATTGAATTACACAAAAAAAAGTAAGCAAAGAATAAATGTATGGGTTTTACTGGGCTGGATAAAGGGAAGAGATTATGAAAGTCCATCCATGATAAAGAACTCCTATAACCCAAAACAAAAACCTCAATTAAAAAATGGAATTAGCCGGGTGTGGTGGTGCACGCCTGTAGTCCCAGCTACTCGGAAGGCTGAGGCAGGAGAATGGCATGAACCCGGGAAGCGGAGGTTGCAGTGAGCCAAGATCACGCCACTGTACTCCAGCCTGGGCGACAGAACAAGACTCCGTCTCAAAGGAAAAAAAAAAAAAAAAAAAAAAAAAGAGGCAAAAGGGCCAGGTGCAGTGGCTCATGCCTGTAATACTAGCACTTTAGGAGGCCAAGGTGGGTGGATCACCTGAGGTCAGGAGTTCAAGACCAGCCTGGCTAACATAGTGAAACTTCGTCTCTACTAAAAATACAAAAAATTAGCCAGGCATGGTGGCGGACACCTGTAATCCCAGCTACTCGGGAGGATGAGGCAGGAGAATCACTTGAACCTGGGAGGTGGAGATTGCAATGAGCCAAGATTGCACCACTGCACTCCAGCCTGGGCAACAAGAGCCAAACTCCATCTCCAAAAAAAAAAAAAAAAAAAAAACCAGGCAAAGTATTTGAATAGACATTTCTCCAGTGAATGTATACAAATGGTCAATAAGCATGTAAAAAGATGCTCAGCATGACTACTCAACAGGGAAATGCAAATCAAAACAATGAGATGCTGTACCTACTCACACAAATTAGGATGGCTATCATCAGAAAACAAAAAGTGTTGGTGAGGGTGTGGAGAAATGGGAACCTTAGTATACCGCTGCAAGAATATAAAACAATGTAGCCACTGTGGAAAACAGTTTACTGCTTCCTCAAACAGTTACACGTAGTGCCAGGTGCGATGGCTCACATCTGAAATCTCAGCAACTCAGGAGTGTGAGGCAGGGAGATCCCTTGAAGCCAGGAGTATAAGACCAGCCTGGGCAACACAGTGAGATTCTGTCTCTAATTAGTCAAGCGTGATGGCTGGGCAACAATGTGAATATACTTCATGCCAATGAACTCTACACATAAAAATGGTTAAAACGGTAAGTTTTATGGTATGTATATTTTACCACAATATTTAAATTTTTTATTTACTTTTTTTAAAATTGTTACCAAAAAAATACTAAGAATCCATCCAAGTTATTTAGAAAGGGAGCGTCAGATCAACCTTTCCAAAGTGCCAAAATTCACAAGATTACCTGGTTGCTTGCCCCATACCCAGCTGTCCAGAATTGACTTGGCCCTATATATAGGTGCAGGAGTTTCTTCTTCATCTTTTTTCTCTTTGTCATTCAGATCTTCTTTCTTTGTTCCACTTGGTTCGACACTATCATCTGCAGAATTAAAAATTTTTTAATCTGTCACCGCTTTTCAGAATGCCATACCATTAGTCTCTGCAAATGTCCCTCCCCGAAAAGTTACAACACACATCATTAACTGAATGTTGGACAACGTAAAAATAAAATACATCAATCATACCTGTAACAGACCCAGTATAATTTTCATAAAGAAACCAATATATCGGCCAGGCGTGGTGGCTCACGCCTGTAATCCCAGCACTTTGGGAAGCCATGGCGGGTGGATCACAAGGTCAGGAGATCGAGACCATCCTGGCTAACACGGTGAAACCCCATCTCTACTAAAAATACAAAAAATTAGCCAGCCGTGGTGGCGGGCGCCTGTAGTCCCAGCTACTCAGGAGGCTGAGGCAGGAGAATGGCGTGAACCCGGGAGGCAGAGCTTGCAGTGAGCTGAGATCACACCACTGCACTCCAGCCTGGGTGACAGAGCGAGACTCTGTCTCAAAAAAAAAAAAAAAAAAGAAACCAATATAACAAATTATTTAAAGCATGTCTTCCAAAGTGATATTCCATCTACTTCCTAGTACATTTCTCAACTGAGAAACTTAAGTCTTTGATATTTACCTACTTCAATTTCACACCAATTGCTTTTATCCAGTGAGTCCCAATGCTTGTGTATCCATGGGAAAAGGGAGGGTGTAGAACAGGAGTATGATTCAAAAATCTTTTAACTCTTTACAAGGCCCTACTCCACTGCCAACTGGGAAGCACTGCTATGCAGAGGCACTGTGACTGATAGCATAATTCAAGAGCACTGGGAAACAAAGGAAAAGCTGAGAAAAATCACTTTAGGCCACTGACAATGTCAAGTTTCAGTCAAAAACAACTGTCATAAAACTCCTTACACAGTAAGCGAAGAGAAGAGAGAACTAACCTTAACCTTGAAGTGTAAACACGTTCCATCACAGAAGGCTGTGACTAAATGTCTAACAACATAATTAGAAAAATGTATCTCAATCGGTGAAAGACACGATATCCCATCCAGATTACAAATAATGACTATCTAAAAATCTCGAAGGAAACAGTTCCTCTGTTTACAACATTTCTGACACCAAATGCATGGACTTTTGCACCAAGTAATTCTCCAGTTCTCTGCGACATCCAGCTGTGTGTCCCACAGTGCAATTCAATTCTGAAACTAACTACCTAGAATTAGCACAGACCCCACAGGTTAATAACAGGAGAGAAAAGGTGAATGCTGAAAAAAATATCCAAAGAACTAATGGCTGAAAACTTCCTAGGTTCAGCAAATGACATAAACCCAGGCAGACTGAAGAATCTGCACAAAGCCCACACAAGATAAATCCAAAGGAAGCCATGACGAGGCACATCATAATCAACTGCTAAACACTAAGGACAAAACCTTTTGAAAAGTGCCACGGAAAGTAGATACAGAAGAATTTCTCGTGTGGCCTGAAATTAAGACTAAATATTACGTGCTGCCTTGACATTGGTAAAATCAAGAAGGCCTCAAATAGCCTAACCACAAGGTCTCCCCTGAGCTCTGCTCTCACGGATAAGATCCCAAAGCCAAACAACCTCCTTATCGCGGAAACCCGACCCCAGCCTGCTCATCCCTGCCGGCCCAGAGTTATTCAAACAAGCCAGTCACATCTTCCCATGGGAAGCAAGGTCACTTCACCCTGTTCTTACTACAAAATGTGCCTCCCACAGCCCCTCGTGGTTCACTCTGTTCCCAAGTGCAGCCCCCGTGTGGCATGCGGTGTCCCCCACCCCCAGGGCTGTGAGCATGCGTGACTAATAAACTGCTATTTCATCTGTCCAGTGTCAGTGTCCTACGTTCAGCCATCCCATATCCCTAGGGCAGGAATCTTCTAGGGTTATAAACAGAACTTTAATCAACCTCTCCTTGGTTATTTTACTGGTTCCATGATACAGCTTTTTCTGTGCAAAAGATCTGAACAGAAACTCACAGAGGATACAAGAGTGGCAAAAAAGAACATGATATTCAGCATTGTTAGCCATTACAGAATTGCAAATTAAAACCACAATGAGATCCCACTAGACTTGTTAGAATGGCTCAACTAAAAAACACTGATAACACCAAGTGCTAACAAAGACACAGACCAAGAGAAATGTTACAGATTGCCAGTGGGAATGCAAACTAAAACAGCCTCCAGTTTACCAAGGTAGACACCTTGGGTCACAGAATACAGAATAGAACCCAGCCAGGAACACAGCTCAGGTGAGAACACAGGTGCTGCTTCTAAAGGCCAGACTCTGTCCTACATGTGTGTGGGGGGGGGGAGTGGGGGGGAGGCGGTGGGGGGGTCACTAACCACAGCCCACAGGACAAACCCAGCCCACAGCCTCTTTGTGTATGGTCTGAAAACAGGGAAAGTATTTTACTTTTGTTGTTCTTTTGAGACAGAGTCTTGACTCACCACAACCTCTGCCTCCCAGGTTCAAGTGATTCTCCCAAGTTCAAGTGATTCTCGTGCCTCAGCCCCCAAGGAGCTGGGATTACAGGCGTGCATCACCATGCCCAGCTAATTTTTTGTTTTTAGTAGAGATGGGGTTTCACCATGTTGGCCAGGCTGGTCTCGAACTCCTGACCTCAGGTGATCCGCCTGCCTCGGCCTCCAAAAGTGCTGGGATTACAGGTGTGAGCCACCACGCCCGGCCACCGTATTTTATAGTTTTTAATAATTGAAAAATAATCAAAAGAAAAACAGTATTTTGTGACTTGCAAACATTCTGTGGACTTCATCTTTTCGTGTCCATAAATAAAGTTTACAGAATGAACGTCCCCTGCCCGCTGACATAGTACTGTCTGTGGCTACTCTGGCACTACAGCTGCAAGGTCCCATGGCTATGACAGAGACCATAGGGTCCACTGAGACCTTAAAATATTTACTATCTGGCCCTTTACAGAAAGTAGGCCACCCCCACCCTACATCTGGCTATAAATTTTACATATTTGACAAATTCTGAGACCCTGTCTCAGAAAATAAAATAAAATATTCATAGTCTTAATAATGGAAAACAAAAACATTTATTGAATGTCAAAATTATCTCCCTAACACCCCGAATCAGTTGGGATCTACATAAAAAACAATTATGCTCTGCTTTCCAATCATGATTTTTAAAAGAACAAAGGACAAAAAAATTCATCAAATGTGGGCCGGGCATGGTGGCTCACACCTGTAAACCCCACACTTTGGGAGGCCGAGGTGGGCAGATCATGAGGTCAGGAGTTCAAGACCAGCCTGACCAAGATGGTGAAACTCCATCTTTATTAAAAATACAACAATTAGCTGGGCATGGTGGAGGGTGCCTGTAATCCTAGCTACTCAGGAGGCTGAGGCAGAGAACTGCTTGAACCGGGGAGGCAGTGGTTGCAGTGAGCCAAAATCATGCCGCTACACTCCAGCCTGAGCGACAGAACAAGACTCCCTCTCGAGAGGAAAAAACACACAAAAAATATTCATCAAATGTAATGAATAAAACATATACTTTGGATTTTGCCATGTACTTAGCTTTTCTTAGAGCACCTTTTAGAACTATTGTTTCACAGAAAACACTTTGGGAAAAATTTTAATTTATAAACAAATACTGGAGGGCTAGGAAGAAGAGGTTAAAACTTTTTAAAATATACAGAATGAATTACTGATACATAAAAAAAAAAAAAAAAAAAGGTTGCTGATTCCTGTCTTGGAAGACACTGTCATATGGACACTCTTAGCCTCAGCATCCAGAGGTCCAGAAAGGGAAAATTTCAAGTCAGAGAGAATTCTATATATACCACTTACTTGGAACATTCAGCCCTCAAAATCCCAACATCATGACCTCAGTTTCAACACAATTGTCCTTAGTCCTTATGTCACTGCTTTTGGTGCTGCCTGCTGTCAAGGCAGTGGAAGCCAGTGATGCAACTGCTCTCTCGTTAAAAGGTGTGGTTCTCAGTATTACAGGTGTTTGTACTTGCTTGCGGGCATACGCACGAAAGATAAAAATGAACAGATGTGACTTTGAAGGGCCTAATGAATGAAACCTCACCCTGAAAACCTTTGTGCTACTGAAACTAAATGTAAGCTTTGGTGTCTGAAAGTTTCCAAGAATTACTAAGTAGGAGAGTTTTACTTTCTGAGTTGATTCCATGAAATGGGAACAAATTGGTACATAAATGGATTTTGCCCAGAATCCTAGGAAATCGCCACTGTTCAGTCGTAATCACTGCCTCCTAAATCACTGAGTCTGTTCTCTGTATTTTTATTAGACTTTTGTCATCTCCCAAATTCAGATATCCAATAGTCAGCCAAAAAGGGAAACTTTTATCTCTGGAAAGAAAAAAAATCACTTAGAAAAATGTATTCAGTGTATCTAATACTGAAATGGAGAAAAGACTTAATGTTAAAGAAAAAAAAAACACTATAGACATTGACATGGAAAAGAGATTTAATGTTAAAAAAACTTTATATTAACTGAGTAACACCTCCTGATGAGAAGTGCTATATTAAATATAAACCCATTATGTTGTTTAAAAAAAAAAACATGAAAATCAAAAGCACTAAACAGAGTGAAAGAAGCCAGACACAGAAGAACCCGACTACGTGATTCCATGTATGGAGTTCTAGAACAGGCGCAATTTGTCAAATGCTGGAGAAACATCAGGCCAACTATTGCCTCTGGGAAGAAGGGGCAGGACACCAGAGAACTTTCTGAGCAAGAGTCATGATAAAGATGTGGGTTACATGGGTTACATTTGTCAAAACTTGTGAAATGGTAAACTCAAAATAGATACATTTCATTATATATAAATTTTACCTGAAAGTCAAAAACAAAGTTGAACTAGAATCAATTACATACATGAGTGTCTAAGGAGCTAGGTGAGACAAACGGTGGATGGACAGACAGCAGGATGTGGAGCCAAATACGGTGGCAGAACATGGAGGTGGGTCTGCAGCCACTCACTGTACACGTCTGTCAGTTATTGTGTGTGTGTGTGTGTGTGTGTGTGTGTGAGTGAATATTTTCAAACAAATATAAAAAATAAATTAAAATAAAAACACAGGTAACTCTGCTTGACACTGAAACTGAAAAGGGAGACTAATACTTTTTCCCATGGTTTGTTTTGTGTTTTTTGTTTTTTTTTTTTTTGAGATGGAGTCTCACTCTGTCACCCAGGCTGGAGTGCAGTAGCACAATATCTGCTCACTGCAACCTCCACCTCCCGGCTCCAAGCAATTCTCCTGCCGTGCCCTCCCAAGTAGCTGGGATTACAGGCGCCCGCCACTATGCCTGGCTAATTTTTGTATTTTTTAGTAGAGACGGGGTTTCACCATGTTGGCCAGGCTGGTCTCAAACTCCCAACCTCAAATGATCTGCCCGCCTCAGCCTCCCAAAGTGCTGGAATTACAGGCATGATCCACCACGCCCGATCCCCATGTACTTTCAAGTGGACACCATCCCCATTCATTCCACAAAAGAAGAAGAAATACTTGCCAGGCACGGTGGCTCACGCCTATAATCCCAGCACTTTGGGAGGCTGAGGCGGGCGGATCACGAGGTCAGGAGCTCGAGACCATCCTGGCTAACACGGTGAAACCCTGTCTCTACTAAAAAATACAAAAAATTAGCCGGGCGTGGTGGCGGGCGCCTGTAGTCCCACCTACTTGGGAGGCTGAGGCAGGAGAATGGCATGAACCCGGGAGGTGGAGCGTGCAGTGAGCTGAGATCGCGCCACTGTACTCCAGCCTCAGCAACAGAGCAAGACTCCTTCCCCCCCAAAAAAAAGAAGAAGAAGAAATACTTTCTTCAGACTAATGCTCTCCCAACTGAGCTATTTCAACTTAGAATAAATACTTTCTAAAGTGGTAGCTTTATCCACGTTGATGACTCTCAAGCAGGGGGACCAACGAACTTCAACAATGGTTCTCAACCAAGGATCTTTTCAGATTCAACAAGTTTAGGGTGTATACAAGCAGCCATTTTTTTAAACCTCAATGGGGACTCTGAAACACAGCCACTGTTATGAACAACATAATGATAGTCTTACTGAGCATGCAAAACTACAAAGCTAAATAAGATTGTTCAATGGCATTTCCTTGCAGGCCAAAGGCTTCCAATAAGTGTTTAATACACCCCCAAAGAACACCACAAATGCAGCAAGATGGTTTTGCAATAAAAATGCCTTCAATTCACGTAAAACAATAAAATCCGAGCAGCTTGTATTAACTACCATTTTAGACAACAATCTCCAAAGTAAAAAGCAAAACTTCAAAGAGTTAAGCTCAAAGCTCCTGTTCCTATAGCACATTACAAAATTTCTATAAAATGCATTTTATAATGGTCTTTACCAAATAAAAAACACTAGTTAAAGGCCCTTACCTTTTCTAGGAGGGAGCTCTCCGTTCTGGGTTGATTCTGTTCCAGTGTATACAATTTCTCCATCTTTAACCATTTCATTCCACAGACCACAGAGCCCATCTCTTGTGAATGCAAGCTGGCAATGATAAACGAGATAAGCTTACAGAGTGCTCACACTCACATTGCAATTTTTAAAGAATGATATGGGAAAAAAATCTCAATCCCCCTTATGTATTCGATCATTTGGTAATAAAATCAATGATTTACTGAATTAGTGATTTAATCATTTTACATTTCAGGAAAGTCATCCAAGAAATATAAATGAAAAGGTGCATAATAGTATAAATACTATGCTACCTCTTATGTAACATACAAGAAAAATGACACGTGGTCGGGCGAGGTGGCTCATGCTTGTCATCCCAGCACTTTGGGAGGCCGAGCGGGGCACATCACGGGGGATCAGGAATTTGAGACCAGCCTGGCCAACACGGTGAAACCCCGTCCCAACTAAAAATACAAAAAATTAGCCAGGCGTGGTGGCGGGCGCCTGTAATCCCAGCTACTCACGAAGCTGAGGCAGGAGAATTGCTTGAACCCAGGAGGCAGAGGTTGCAGTGAGCCGAGATCGCACCACTGCACTCAGCCTGAGTGACAAGAGCGAGACTCGGTGTTAAAAAAAAAAAAAAAAAGAAAAGAAAAGAAAAAAAAGACACACACACAAACACACACACGTGCATGTGCTCTGAAAAGATAAACCAAAAGCAAGTACCAATGACTACCTACGGGGAAATGGGGAGGGGACATGGACAAAGGCAGCAGGACCAGAAAAAGCAACAACATTGTGAGTATACTTTAGATGTCTTTACTTCTGAAACATACATGACTTTCATCCTCAAAAATTAAAATTAAATCATAAAAAAGCGAAACCTACAACTGGCAACAAGCAAATTAACCCATGCATATACAAAGAAAAGTATGTCAAGGGACTTTTGAACTACATATCATTAATATAATATACTATAATGAAAAATAAAATATTTATCGGTATTGATAACACTCTCACAATTTTAGAACTACTTCATGTTGCACAATAAAGCAGTGTAAATACAATAAAACATGTTTATGATAAAGTATTAAATGTTCTTAGAAATTAAGGTTTTAGGCCGGCCACGGTGGCTCACACCCGTAATCCCAGCATTTGGCAGGCCAAGGCAGGTAAATCACTTGAGGTCAGGAGTTCATGACCAGCCTGGCCAACATGGTGAAACCCCATCTCTACTAAAAATATAAAAAATTAGCCGGGTGTGCTGGTGCATGCCTGTAATTCCAGTCACTCGGGAGGCTGAAGCAGAAGACTAGCATGAACCCAGGAGGCAGAGGTTTCAGTGAGCCGAGATTATGTCACTGCGCTCCAGCCTGGGTAAACAGAACGAGACTCCATCTCAAAAAAAAAAAAAAAAAAAAAAAAAAAAAATTAAGGTTTTCAGTGGAAAAGAGGAAAAAAAATCAAAGAAATTTTGAAAAACAACTTAAATTGGAAATCTATGAACTTTATTTTTGAATATATTTGCTTACTCTGTTTTTTAAAGGACTAGAATCAAAGGCAATCTGACAGCGGCACCCAGATTTTGGTCTCTCAGAACCATTTCCCAATAAAAGACGCTAGGGCTCTAGGGAAAATAAGTAGATTCAAGGGCCAGGGCAGACAAAGATGAGCCTGTTTCCTCAAAGAAAAAGCTGTTTCCTCAAACATGGCCAGGTGCGGTGGCTCACGCCTATAATCCTAGCATTTTGGGAGGCTGAGGCGGGCAGATCACTTGAGGTCAGGAGTTCGAGACCAGCCTAGCCAACATGCCGAAACCCCATCTCTTCTAAAAATACAAAAATTAGCTGGGCATGGTGGCAGGCGCCCATAATCCCAGCTACTTGGGAGGCTGAGGCAGGAGAATAGCCTGAACCCAGGAGGCCAAGGTTGCAGTGGGCCAAGACTATGCCACTGCACTCCAGCCTGGGTGACAGAGCAAGACTTTACCTCAAACAAAAAAAAAAAGCAGCTGTTCAAAGACTGATAGGGACTCCTGACCAAATTTATAATAATTATAATAACTGTGAGCATCAAAATCAAAAACGCCTTTGCTTGTCAACATTTGTGAGTCAGAAAAGGCTTCCCAGAACAGGAAAAGGGAGCATTTCAGACACTGGGGGAAGGCATCCATTCTGAAAACTGCGTATGCGACAGAAGCTCCCTTGTCTGGCAAAAAAAAAAAAGCCATTTTTAATTAAAAGAGACACAGATGTTTGCCCATCTTTTTTTTTTTTTAAACTTCTGTGGATACACACTAGTTGTATGTATGTGTGTATATATATATATATATATATATATATATATATATATATATATGGGTTATATATTCTATCTAACTTTTTTTTTTTTTTTTTGAGACGGATCTCGTTCTGGCACTAAGCTGGAGTGCAGTTGTGCGATCTCAGCTCACTGCAACCTTTGCCTTTTGGGTTCAAGGGTTTCTCCTGCCTCAGCCTCCAGAGTAGCTGGGACTACAGGCTCACACCACCACACCCAGCTAATTTTTGTATTTTTGGTAGAGATGGGGTTTCACCGTGTTGGCCAGGATGGTCTGGGTCTCTTGACCTCATGATCCACCTGCCTTGGCCTCCCAAAGAGCTGGGATTACAGGCGTAAGCCACTGTGCCCAGCCCTATCTAACTCCATTTTTATACCCATTAACCATCCGCACTTCACCCCCACTTTATCCTTCCCAGTCTCTGATAACCATCATTCTACTCTATCTCCATGAGTTCAATTACTTTCATTTGCTTAGCACCTACAAATAAGTGAGAACATGCAAAGTTCGATTTTCTGGGTCTGGCTCATGACATTCTGTTCCTGACTTAACGTAACGACCTCCAGTTCTATCCATGTTGTTGCAAACGGCAGTATCCCATTCTTTTTCATGGTTGAATAGTACTCCGTTGAGTATATATACCACATTTTCTTCATCCATTCATCTGCTGGGAACACTTAGGTTGCTTCCAAATCTTGGCTATTGAGAATAGTGCTGCAATAAACATGAGAGTGTACATATTTCTTCAACATACTGATATTCTTTCCTCTGGGTATATACCTACCAGTGGGATTGCTGAATCATATGATAGTCCTATTTTTAGTTTTTTGAGGAACCTCCAAGCTAATCTCCATAATGGCTGTGCTAATTTACATTCCCACCAACAGTGCACAAGGGTTCCCTTTTCTCTATATTCTTGCCAGCATTTGTTCTTGTCTTTTGGATATAAGCCATTTTAATTAGGGTGAGATAATATCTCATTATAGTTTTGATTTGCATGTCTCTGATGACCAACCATGTTGAGCACCTGTTCGTACTGCCTGTTTGTCATTTGTATATCTTCTTTTGAGAAATGTCTATTCAAATCTTTTGCCCATTCTTATTGGATTATTAGATTTTTTTCTTATAGAGGTGCTTAAGCTAATTATATATTCTGGTTATTAATCCTTTGTCAGATGGGTAGTTTGCAAATATTTTCTCCCATTCTGTGGGTTGTCTCTTCATTTTGTTGATTGTTTCCTTTGCTGTGCAGCTTTTTAACTCAATGTGATCCCACTTGTCCATTTTAGCTTTGGTTGCCTGTGTTTACGAAGTATTACTCAAGAAATCATTACCCAGTGCAATGTCCTGGAGAGTCTCCCCAATGTTTTCTTTTAGCACTTTCATAGTCTGAAGTCTTAGGTTTAAGTCTTTACTCCATTTTGATGTGATTTTCGTATATGGTGAGAGATAGCGGTCTAGTTTCATTTTTCTGCATATGGGTGTCCCATTTTCCCAGCACCATTTATCAATGAGGCTATCCTTTCCCTCACGTATCCTCCGGGCACCTCTGTCAAAGGTGAGTTCACTGTAGATGTATAGATCTGTTTCTGGGTTCTCTATTCTGTTCCATTGGTCTAGGTGTCTGTTTTTATACCAGTACCATGCTGTTTTGGTATACCTTTCTAGTAAACTTTGCACTTGATCTAAGCCAAAAAAGACCAGGAAGTGACTGTAGTATAATTTTAAGTCAGGTAATGCAATTTCTCCAGTTTTGTTTTTTGCTCAGGATGGCTTTGGCTATTCTGTCTCTTTTGTGATTCCATACAAATTTCAGGATTTTTTTTTTCTATTTCTGTGAAGAATGTCATTGGTATTTTGATAGGGATTACATTGAACCTGTAGATTGCTTTGGGTAGTACAGACATTTTAACAATATTGATTCTTCCAATCCATGAACACGGAGTATCTTTTCCTTTTTTGTGTGTCTTCTTCAATTTTCTGCATCACTGTTTTACAGTTTTCGTGGTAGAGATCTTTTCACTTCTTGGGTTAGTTTTATTCCTACGTATTTTACTTTATTTGTAGCTATTATAAATGGAATTATTTTTCTTGATTTTTCATATTGTTCACTGTTGACATACAGAAATGCTACTGATTTGGCCGGGCACAGTGGCTCATACCTGTAATCCCAGCACTTTGGGAGGCCAAGGCAGGCGGATCACCTGAGGTCAGGAGTTCAAGACCAGCCTGGCCCATGTGGTGAAACCCTGTCTCTACTAAAAATACAAAAATTAGCCAGGCCTGGTGGCAGGCGCCTGTAATGCCAGCTACTCAGGCAGCTAAGGCAGGAGGATCGCTTCAACCCAGGAGGCAGAGGTTGCAGTGAGCCGAGATTGCGCCATTGCTTTCCAGCCTGGGCCACAGAGTGAGACTCCATCTCAAAAAAAAAAAAAAAAAAAAAAAAAACAGAGAAATGCTACAGATTTTTGTATGTTAATTTAGTATCCTGCAATTTTACTGAATTTATCAGTTCTAATCATTTTTTGGTGGAGTTTTCAGGTTTTTCCAAATATAACAATCATCTGCAAACAAGAATAACTTGGCATCTTCATTTCCAATTTGGATGCCCTTTATTTCTTCTTTTTTTTTTTTTTTTCCTGAGATGGAGTCTTGCTCTGTAGCCCAGGCTGGAATATAGCGGCACAATCTCAGCTCACTGCAATCTCCACCTCCGGGGTTCAAGTGATTTCCCTGCCTCAGCCTCCCGAGTAGCTGGGACAACAGACACCCGCCACCACGCCTAGCTAATTTTTATATTTTTAGTAGAGACAGGGTATCACCGTGTTGGCCAGGCTTCAAACTCCTGACCTCAAGTGATCCACTCACCTCAGCCTCCCAAAGTGCTGGGATTACAGGTGTGAGCCACTGCACCCGGCCTTTCTCTCTCTTATCTGACTCCTCTAGCAAGGGCTTCCATTTTTTTTTTTTTTTTTTTTTTTATACTTTAAGTTTTAGGGTACATGTGCACATTGCGCAGGTTAGTTACATATGTATACATGTGCCATGCTGGTGTGCTGCACCCACTAACTCGTCATCTAGCATTAGGTATATCTCCCAATGCTACCCCTCCCCCCTCCCCCCACCCCACCCCACCACAGTCCCCAGAGTGTGATATTCCCCTTCCTGTGACCATGTGATCTCATTGTTCAATTCCCACCTATGAGTGAGAATATGCGGTGTTCGGTTTTTTATTCTTGCGATAGTTTACTAAGAATGATGGTTTCCAATTTCATCCATGTCCCTACAAAGGACATGAACTCATCATTTTTTATGGCTGCATAGTATTCCATGGTGTATATGTGCCACATTTTCTTAATCCAGTCTATCATTGTTGGACATTTGGGTTGGTTCCAAGTCTTTGCTATTGTGAATAATGCCGCAATAAACATACGTGTGCATGTGTCTTTATAGCAGCATGATTTATAGTCATTTGGGTATATACCCAGTAATGGGATGGCTGGGTCAAATGGTATTTCTAGTTCTAGATCCCTGAGGAATCGCCACACTGACTTCCACAATGGTTGAACTAGTACCAAAACAGACATATAGATCAATGGAACAGAACAGAGCCCTCAGAAATAACGCCGCATACCTACAACTATCTGATCTTTGACAAACCTGAGAAAAACAAGCAATGGGGAAAGGATTCCCTATTTAATAAATGGTGCTGGGAAAACTGGCTAGCCATATGTAGAAAGCTGAAACTGGATCCCTTCCTTACACCTTATACAAAAATCAATTCAAGATGGATTAAAGATTTAAACGTTAGACCTAAAACCATAAAAACCCTAGAAGAAAACCTAGGCATTACCATTCAGGACATAGGCGTGGGCAAGGACTTCATGTCCAAAACACCAAAAGCAATGGCAACAAAAGCCAAAATTGACAAATGGGATCTAATTAAACTAAAGAGCTTCTGCACAGCAAAAGAAACTACCATCAGAGTGAACAGGCAACCTACAACATGGGAGAAAATTTTCGCAACCTACTCATCTGACAAAGGGCTAATATGCAGAATCTACAATGAACTCAAACAAATTTACAAGAAAAAAACAAACAACCCCATCAAAAAGTGGGCGAAGGACATGAACAGACACTTCTCAAAAGAAGACATTTATGCAGCCAAAAAATACATGAAAAATGCTCATCATCACTGGCCATCAGAGAAATGCAAATCAAAACCACTATGAGATACCATCTCACACCAGTTAGAATGGCAATCATTAAAAAGTCAGGAAACAACAGGTGCTGGAGAGGATGTGGAGAAATAGGAACACTTTTACACTGTTGGTGGGACTGTAAACTAGTCCATTATTATATTGAATAACAGTGGTGACAGTGGGCATCCGTGTCTTGTTCCAGATCTTAGAGGAAAGGCTTTCAGTTTTTCACCTTTCAGTATGATACTAGCTGTGTGTCAGCTGTATATGGCTTTTATTGCGTTGAGGTGTGTTCCTTCTATAACCAGTTTTTTGGGGGTTTTTATCATGAAAGGATGTTGAATTTTATCAAATGCCTTTTCAGCATGAATTTAAATGATCATATGGTTTTTTATCCTTCATTCTATTGATATGATGTATCAAACTGATTGATTTGGATACGGTGAACCATCCTGGCATCCCTGGGATAAACCCCACTTTGGTCATGATGAATGATGTTTTTAATGTGTTGTTGAATTCGGTTTGCTGGTATTTTGTTGGGTATTTCCGCATCAATGTTCATCTGGGATACTGGCCTGTTTTGTTTTTTTGATTATGTCTTTGTCTGGTTTTGGTATCAGGGTAATATTGGCCTTCTACAATAAGTTTGGATGTATTCCCTCCTCCTCTATTTTTCAGAATAGTTTCACTAGGATTGGTAACAGTTCTTCTTTAAATGTTTGGTAAAATTCAGCAGTGAAGTCACCAGGTCCTGGGGTTTTTCTTTGCTGGAAGACTTTTTATTATTACAGTTTCAATCTCATTACCTGTTATTGGTATGTTCAGGTTCTGGATTTCTTCATGGTTCAAACTTGGAAGGCTGTATGTGCCTGTGAAATTATCCATTTCTTTTTCCTTCTTTTTTTGAAGACACAGTCTCACTCTGTCACCCAGGCTGGAGTGCAGTAACATGATCTCAGCACACTGCAACCTCCACCTCCCAGGCTCAAGTGATTCTCGTGCCTCAGCCTTCCAAGTGGCTGGAATTACAGGCACACAAAACCACACCTGGTTAATTTTTGTATTTTTAGTAGAGTTGGAGTTTCACCATGTTGGCCAGACTGGTCTCGAACTCCTGACCTCAAGTGACCCACCCGCCTCAGCCTCCCAAAGTGCTGGGATTACAGGCATGAGCCACCACGCCCGGCCTGCAAACTTATCTATTTCTTCCACGTTTCCCAATTTATTGACATATAGCTGTTCATAGTCTCTAATGACCCTTTGAATTTCTGCAATATCAGTTGTAATGCCTACTTTTTCACCTCTGATTTGGGTCTTCTTTTTCTCTTAGCCTGCCTGAAGGCTTGTCAATTTATCTTTTAGAAAAACCAACTTTTCATTTCATTGATCTTTTGTATTATTTTCTTCATTTCAACTCCATTTTATTTCTGCTCTAATTTTTATTATTTCTGTCCTTAAAATTATGGGTTTGGTTAGCTCCTTCTTTTCTAGTTCTTTAAGATGTATCATTAGGTTATTTATTTGAAGTTTTTCTACTTTTTTGATTTTCCTCTTAGTACTGCTTTAACTATATCCCACAGATTTCGTATGCTGTGTTGCCATTGCCATTTGTTTCAAGAAACTGTTTAATTTCACTCTTAATTTCTTCACTGACCTGTTGGTCATTCAGGAGCATATTGTTTAATTCCCATGTGTTGGTGGAGTTTCCAAAATTCCTCGTTATCAATTTTTAGTTATAGTCCATGTGATCAGAGAAGATACTTAACATAATTTTTTTAACTTTTATATGGCAAAAGAGGAATCTAGCTTCATTCTTCTGCATATGAATATCAAGTTTTCCCAGCACCATTTATTGAAGAGATTGTCTTTTCCCCAGTGTATGTTCTTGGTACCTTTGTCGAAAATGAGTTCACCGTAGATGTGCGGATTTGTTTCTGGATTCTCTATTCTGTTCCGTTGGTCTGTGTCTGTTTTATGCTAGTACTATGCTGTTTTGGTTACTATAGCTCTGTAGTATAATTTGAAGTCAGGTAATCTGATTCCTCCAGTTTGTTTCTTTTCAATTATGAGAGCTTCGGCTATTCTGGGTCTTTTGTGGTTCAACATGAATTTTAGGATTTTTTTTTTTTCTGTTTCTGTGAAGAATGTCATTGGTATTTTGCTAGGGATTGCACTGAATCGGTAGATTGCTTTGGGTAGTATGGACATTTTAACAATATTGATTCTTCCAATCCATGAAGATGAAATATTTTTCCATCTTTTGTGTCTTCTTTAATGTCTTTCATCAGCGTTTTAGAGTTTTCATTACAGAGATCTTTGTAATTATCTTCTTTGGTTACTTCCCAGGTATTTAATTTCATGTGTGGCTACTATAAATGGGATTACTTTTCTAATTTCTTTTTCATATTGTTTACTGTTGGCACACAGAAATGCTACTGATTTTTGTATGTTGATTTCGTATACTGCAATTGTATTGAATTTATCGGCTCTAATCATTTTCTTGTGGAGTCTTTAGGTTTTTCCAAATATAAGATCATATCATCTGCAAACAAGGATAATTTGACTTCTTCCTTTCCAATGTGGAGGCCTTTTATTTCTTTCTCTTGTCTGATTGCTCTAGCAAGAACTTCCAGTACTATGTTGAATAACAGTGGCCACACTGAGCATCCTTGTCATGTTCCAGATCTTAGAGGAAAGACTTTCAGTTTTTCACCATTCAGTATGATACTAGCTGTGGGTCTGTCATATACGGCTTTTATTATGTTGAGGTATGTTTCTTCCATAACCAGTTTTAAGAGATTTTATCATGAAAGGATGTTGAATTTTATCAAATGCCTTTTCAGCATCGATTGAAATAATCACATGGTTTTTATCCTTCTGTTGACATGATGTATCACATCAATTGATTTGCATATGTTGAACCATCCTTGTACCCCAGGGATAAACCCCACTTGGTCACAATGAACGATCTTTCTAACGTATTGCTGAATTTGGTTTGCTAGTATTTTGTTGAGGATATTTGCATCAATATTCATCAGAGACATTGGCCTGTAGTATTCTTTCTTTGATGTGTCTTTGTCTGCTTTTAGTATCAAGGTTTGAATTTTTAATGACTTATTTTGTGGCCTAACATACGGTCTAACCTTGAGGACGATCCATGTGCTAAAGAGAACAATGTAAATTCTGCAGCCATCAGATGAAATGTTCTAGAAATATCTACTAAATCCATTTGGTCTACAGTGCAGATTAAGTTTGATGTTTCTTCGTTAATTTTGTCTGGATGATCTGATCTGTCCAATGCTGAAAGTGGAGTGTTGAAGCCTCCATCTATTAATGTGTTAAGGCCTATCTCTCTCTTTAGCTGTAATATTTGTTTTATGTATCTGGGTGCTCTAGTGTTGAGTGCATATATACATATATTTATAATAGTTATAGCCTCTTGCTGAATTGGCCCCTTTATCATTACATAATGACTTTTTTGGTCTCCTTTTATAGTTTTGGTCTTGAAATCTATTTGGTCTGATATAACCACTATGCTCTTTTGTGATTTCCATTTACCTCTCCCTTTTTCCATCCCCCCGCACCGTCCTGAAGGGATGGTCTTCAATTTGAAGAAGCAAGCAGCCAATGAACTGCCTGTGGGGAGGGGCAGCCTCCAAGAGCCCAGGGTTTCAGTCCCACAACCACAATGGATTCAATTCTACCAATGAGGACCTGAGCTCCAGATGACAGCGTGCCCTAGCCAACACCTTGACTACAGCCTGTGACACCTGAAGTAGAGGATAGAACTAAGCTATGGCCAGACTCCTGACCCACAGAAACTGTGAGAGTGTAAATGCTTGTTGTTACAAGCTGCCAAATTTGTGTTTGGTAACTTGTTCTGTAGCGACAGAAACCAAGCCAGCATCCTTCAGTTTTTGTAGAAGGAACAGCTTTCTCTCAGCACTCTTATTTTTTCTGTTCACATCACTAACAGGATAACTGCCATAAACATACTTGGAACCAAAACATACGACTTTTGGTAAAAATTATCAGCTGGTGGGGGAGAGGTAAACTCCTTCCAAAAAGTGAGCCCTAGCCAGGTAGAGTGACTCACATCTCTAATCCCAGCACCTTGGAAGACTGAGGCAAGAGAATCACTTGTGCCCAGGAGTTTAAAACCAATCTAGGCAACATAGCAAGACCGTCTCTACAAAAAAATTGTAAAATTAGCCAGAAAGCTGAGCATGGTGGCTCACACCTGTAATCCCAGCACTTGGGAGGCCAAGGCAGGTGAATTGTTTGAGCTCAGGAGTACAAGACCAGCCTGAACAACATGGCAAAACCACATTTCTACCAAAAATACAAAAAATTAGCCAGAGGTGGTGGCGCGCCTGTACTCCCAGCTACTTGGGAGGCTGAGGTGGGAGAACTGCTTGAGACCAGGAGGTAGAGGCTGCAGTGAGTTGAGATCACTCCACTGTACTCCAGCCTGGGCAATAGAGCAAGACCCTATCAAAAAAAAATTTTAATTTAAATTTAAAAAATTAAAATAATATAAAAAATAAAATTAAAAAGTGAGCCGAAAACATTCAGGGCCCCTGAAGTTTAACTAGTGAATGGAAAGGTTTGACTCTTCTAGTCTTCAGTCAGAGGAGGGCAGTGAATACATGCACTGGGGTTCAGTCCAAACCCTACCACAATGCACATGATAAGAGGCTAACAGCGGTCAGAACTCACAGCTCCATGTGGGCCGTGCTCCAGGAGTTTCAGACTATCTTTAGGCACTCAAGGGAATACGACATTTGACCCGTGTCTTAAAGTGTTTCAGAAAACAGAAACAGAGAAGGTGAACTAAGAAGCTATTACTGGCCACGCACGGTGGCTGACGCCTGTAATCCCAGCACTTTGGGAGGCCGAAGCGGGTGGATCATGAAGTCAGGAGATAAAGACCATCCCGGCTAACACAGCGAAACCCCATCTCTACTAAAAATACAAAAAATTAGCCAGGTGAGGTGGCACGCACCTATAGTCCCAGCTACTCGGGAGGCTGAGGCAAGGGAATTGTTTGAACCTGGGAGGCGGACGTTGCAGTGAGTGGAGATCGCACCACTGCACTCCAGCCTGGGTGACAGAGTGGGACTGCATCTCAAAAAAAAAAAAAAAAAAAAAAAAAAAAGGCTATTACCAAGGGTCCAAAAAAGAAAGGATGACAGTAGAAGTCAACACAGGGAAGTACAGTCTTTAAGATTATTTCAGGCAGGGCACGGTGGCTCACATTTGTAATCCCAGCAGTCTGGGAGGCCGAGGTGGGCAGACTGCTTGAGCCCAGGAGTTCGAGACCAGCCAAAGCAACACGGTGAAACTCGGTCTCTACAAAAAATACAAAAATTAACCAGGCGTGGTGGTACGCACCTGTAGTCCCACTACTCAGGGGGCTGAGGTGGGAGGATCACCTGAGCCCGGGGAGGTTAAGGCTGCAGTGAGCCGTGACGGTGCCACTGCATTCCAGCCTGGGCAACAGAGTGAGACCCTGACTTAAAAAACAAAAAAAGAAACTATTTCAAATCACGTAAGTTAAATCAAATGTGAAAGGGAAAATAAGGGAGGGAACAGAAGAGGAATGAGAATTAGTTCCGTTTTAACCACTAAGATTTGCACTAACTACTGAACATAAACATGGAGCTCCTCCCCACTCCACCAACCCTCAGTAAATATAGATCCAGATCTTAGCAGAGTGTTCAGGGCTAGAGACTCAAATCTGGGAGTAGTCAACAAATGGACTGTAGGTGATGTCCTGGAGAAGATGCCAACACCCAAGCAGAGAGGGGAGACCCCTGCCCAGACCTGAAAGCACTCTAAGATCGCCCCAGACTGGCTGGGCTCCACACATCAGTGTTCTGCGGTACAGCCTAGATTGAGAAACATTAGTGTTACAGAGGTACCATTTTTAAAAAAAAAAGCCAAAAGATGGAACATTTAAAGACTAAGCCAAGGAGGAAGCCCAGTTTACATGGAAACAAGAATAATTACCACCACCTTTCGATTATTACCTGGGTAGCACTGGGAAGGAAGAGGATAGGCCAGACCTTGTCTTTCTGAGTGACAAGGAATTCTTTTTTGGAAGGTAGACACTGGACTCCTGGAAGGACATGCACTGTGGAAGCCTCCTAGGAACTGATGACCCAAATAAATGGTAAGCACCATTCAAAAAACTATTTGGGCACCTTAAAGGTGGAACATTACTAAGGCAATAAAGCAAGCCTCACTGGAGGAGGTCTCCAGAGAGTTAGACTGTGAACAAGCAAAAGTGAAGCCCAGGAGAAGAGCTCTCCAGATCACAGACAGTACAGGATCCTGACTGAGGAAGCAGCAGCCTGGGAACAACTGGAAGACAGCCGTGGCACTGAGAAGAATGGAGACTACAGGCAGGGCGTGGTGGCCCACGCCGTAATCCCAGAGCTTTGGGAGGCCAAGACAGAAGAACTGCTTGAGGCCAAGAGTTCAAGATCAGCCTGGGCAACATGGTAAGACCGTGTCTCTACAGAAATGTAAAAATTACCCAAGTGCATGGCACGTGCCTGTAATCCCAGCTACTCAGGAGGCTACAGCAGGACGGTCACCTGCACCCAGGAGTTTGAGGTTACAGTAAGCTCTGATCACACCACAGCATTCCAACCTGGGTGACAGAGACCCTATTCATAAAAAAAATAAAATAAAATAAAGAAAAAGAAAAAAATGAATGGGACTTTCCATTTGTAAAGTGAGAGTATTTATTTCTACAACTGTCTCCAATTAGCTTTTTATTAGTAGCTGACTTACCTAAACGTGCCCAGTAGATTTTCAACTTTTGACTTTTTTGGTTCAGATCCCAGAAGCTTCTAATTAGGTTATTTGGGCTGAGAACTCTTTTCCAATCTTTTCCAATCTCACATTCCTATCTTACACCTCTGAAATGACATGGCAAGTAAAGGCACTTTCATCGTCAAAAGACCCCAGCAAAAGAGGCAGTAACAGGCTCACTTTTTGTTAGTTACTAAACTGAAGCTCAGAAGGCCAATGACTTGACCAAAGGCCACACAACACTGAGGCTGTGAGAGGTGGGATTTGGGAAGAGGCCCAACTCCAAGGCTTATTCGCTTCCCACCAACACCATAACATGCACCCACACCTGCAGCACGGCAGCCAGGGCAAGCCTTCACGCTCCCATACATAGGCCACCAATATTTTAATACCAATCAGGACTAGGCAAGCAAACAGTTAAGGCATTTTTTTTTTTTTTTTTTTTGAGACAGAGTCTTGCTCTGTCGCCCAGGCTGGAGTGCAGTGGCGCCATCTTGGCTCCCCGGGTTCATGCCATTCTCCTGCCTCAGCCTCCCGAGTAGCTGGGACTACAGGCGCACGCCACCACGCCCGGCTAATTTTTTGTGTATTTTTAGTAGAGACGGGGTTTCACCGTGTTAGCCTGGATGGTCTCGACCTCCTGACCTTGTGATCCACCCGCCTCGGCCTGGGATTACAGGCGTGAGCCACCGCACCCAGCCCGTTAAGGCATTTATTAAAGTGACTTCAGAACTATAGAGTCAGGCAATAAAATCCAAAACTGAATAATATAACAAATGAATATCTGATTAATGTATAGGTTAGAAAATGTTTCTTTTTCATGTCCTTACAATTTGACAGAAAAGTAATCTTCAAATATTTGCAGATGAGTAAAGGTATATGGCTTTTTTTCTTAAACCTACAGAAAAATACTAAACATCTATTGAACGTAGGACAACATATAAAAAATGTTAAGAACAGGTTCCTAGAACAATTAGAAAGGTCAGACAGGAACATTAAGTACGTCGATTTGAAGACATCCTAGAAGCAGTAAGATAGTGAGGTCTTCCTAAAGTCTGAGACCCACGAGAGGAAGAAAGAGGCCCAGAGAACCTAAGCAAGCAGGGATGAGACTGAGAAGCAAAACGGAGCTTCTGAGAGACTCCCAGGGCCCTCACACAGGAGAAAGAGGCCTGGCAGACCCCATGCTCTGAGCTGGAACCTCAAAGGGCCACACACCAGAAATACAGGTGAGTTAGAAGTAGACCAGCCTTTACGGAAAACCAGCCCAGTTTCGCATTCTCTCAATTTCCAAAGGGACTGCAGTGACCTGGGATTGCCTAGAACATCCTCTCTGGGGGAAGTTATTGTTACCCAGAGCCTCGACTTATTGCTACAATATTGCATATACAATATCTGAAAGTCAAGCAAATATAATAATGACAAAGATACAAGACCACATCATTGAAAAATGAAAAAAAAAATAGAAGTCAACAGAACAGACCAAGAGTAGATCCTGAAAACAGAAATATAAAGACTTCTATCATGAAAGAAGAGCCTGAGGAATGAACTAAAGTGTTAACACTCTGCTCAGCAGATGTCAGCTCGGAACAATGGGGTGAGGGAAGTGGGAAAGTGAGACAAGGAGATCAATGAAGCAACGGTATGCAGTATATGACTTCACAGTCAGCTAAGTGTGATTTTAGCCTACTCTGCCTATGTAGGAGCCATTCTTATTTCCTTTAATTTCCTAAAAAAAGAAAAACATATATTTAAAAAGTGATTTTATATTTTTCAATGGTTGCAACATAATCAAAAGAATCATATGTCAGCCAAGCACGGTGGCTCACACCTGTCATCTCAGACTTTGGGAGGCCAAGGCGGGCGGATCATGAGGTCAGGAGTTCAAGACCAGCCTGGCCAACATGATGAAACCCCGTCTCTACTAAAAATACAAAAAAAAAAATTAGCCAGGAATGATGGTACACGCCTGTAATCCCAGCTACTCCGGAGTCTGAGGCAGGAGAATTGCTTAAACCCAGGAGGTGGAGGTTGCAGTGAGCCAAGATCGCGCCACTGCACTCCAGCCTGGGCAACAGAGCAAGACTCCCTCTCAGGAAAAAAAAAAAAAAATCATATGTCAACACATGAAAATTATCTGACATTCAAATTTTCCTGGAATATAGCCATACACATCTGGCAGCTTCTCGCAGGACAATAGCCAAGGTGAGTTGTTATAAAAGAGCACGTACGGCCCACATAAACATTTACTATCTGGTGCTTTATAGAAAAAATGTGCTGACTCCTATGTTACTGCCACCTCTTCTCAATGAGCTGCAAATACAACCAATTGTTCAGCCAGCACATTCACTAGGCACATGTGGCTTTTCCAGAAGGTCTGCAAGAAGAAACTACACCATAAAATAGTCCAAGGAGGAAAGAAAAAGGGGAGGAATAAAAACACTGAGTTCCCTCATCTCTCCTTGTAAAGTGGTGAACGTTCATACCACAGGGAATTCACACCCACACTCGCCACACCTTCCAGGCTGTGTCACTGGCTCCTTGGTAGGCAGTCAGGAAGCCATACTCCAACTCTCTTGCGTGACATCACAGCGGAGACTGGAGCCGAAGGGCGGCTCACAGGCATGAGTCAACCAAGAGGGACAGAGAGAGGCGGCTAAGGAATCTATGGGGTCGGACAAGGTTTATAAACACACTTTTAAAATAACTACCTTTAATAGGGTCAAGCAATTAAAAGATCCTATTAACAGCCGGGCACGGTTCATGCTTGTACTCCCAGCACTTTGGGAGGCCAAGGCAGGTGGATCACGAGCTCAGGAGTTCAAGACCAGCCTGGGCAACATGGTGAAACCCCATCTCTACTAAAAATATAAAAAATTATCTGGCTCTCGGCGTTAGCGCCATTTTCTTGGAAACCTCTGCGCCATGAGAGCCAAGTGGAGGAAGAAGCGAATGCGCAGGCTGAAGCGCAAAAGAAGAAAGATGAGGCAGAGGTCCAAGTAAACCGCTAGCTTGTTGCACTGTGGAGGCCACAGGAGCAGAAACATGGAATGCCAGACGCTGGGGATGCTGGTACAAGTTGTGGGACTGCATGCTACTGTCTAGAGCTTGTCTCAATGGATCTAGAACTTCATCGCCCTCTGATCGCCGATCACCTCTGAGACCCACCTTGCTCATAAACAAAATGCCCATGTTGGTCCTCTGCCCTGGACCTGTGACATTCTGGACTATTTCTGTGTTTATTTGTGGCCGAGTGTAACAACCATATAATAAATCACCTCTTCCGCTGTTTAAAAAAAAAAAAAAATTATCTGGGTGTGGTGGTGCACACTTGGAATTCCAGCCACTTAGGAGGCTGAGGCATGAGAATGGCTTGAACCTGGGAGGTGGAGGTTGCAGTGAGCTGAGATACTGCTACTGTACTCCAACCTGGGCAACAGAGTGAGACTCTGTCTCAAAAAAAAAAAAAAAAAAAAAAAAAGGAATTGTCATCAAAGTCCTACGGCTAAACCCTTTTCCTTTTTTTTTAATAACTAGTATTACTAGTCTTTTCCAAGAACCAAAGTTAAAAGTTAGTTCTTTAAAACACCAGGCCAGGCACAGTGGCTCATACATGTAATCACAGCACTTTGGGAGGCCAAGGCAGGAGGATCACTTGAATGCAGGTGTTCTAGACCAGCCCGGACAACAAAGAAAGACCCTGCCTCTACAAAAAAAAATTTTTTTGCTGCAAAATGCTCTCAATTAACCTGACAAAATGTCACATACAGGGTTACTACATCTTTTTTATCATGGAATTTTGAAAACAAAAATTGTTCTATTGAGGCACCAGTATTTGGATATTAGAGGTAAAAACCACCCTTAGAATCCAGTCCTAAAAACGTCAATGAAGACTCCCATGTTTACAAATTCTTTTATTTCTACATGTCATCTATCAACTGGATTATGAACCTGAAAGCCTGAGAACAGAATTTATCAAGATACTCATGTTTATACTTTTTTTATCTACTGATCGTTTTTATTTTTTTTGAGACGGATTCTCGCTCTCTCACCAGGCTGTAGTGCAGTGGCGCGATCTCGGCTCACTACAACCTCCGCCTCCTGGGTTCAAGCGATTCTCCTGCCTCAGCCTCCTGAGTAGCTGGGACTACAGGCACGTGCCACCACACCCAGCTAATTTTTGTATTTTTAGTAGAGATGGGGTTTCACCATGTTGGCCAGGATGACCTCGATCTCCTGACCTCAGCCTCCCAAACTGCTAGGATTACAGGCTGAGCCACCACACCCAGCCATGTAGCCATCTACTGATATTTCTAAGCATGAAGTGACAATTTTTTTTTTTGAGATGGAGTCTTGCTGTGTTGGCCAGGCTGGAGTGCAATGGCATGATCTCGGCTCACTGCAACCTCCACCTCCTGGGTTCAAGCACTTCTCCTGCCTCAACCTCCCAAGTAGCTGGGATTACAAGCGCACACTACCACGCCTGACTCTTTTGTATTTTTAGTAGAGACAGGGTTTCACCATGGGCGCCAGGCTGGTTTTGAACTCCTGACCTCAAGTGATCCGCCCTCCTCGGCCTCCCAAAGTGCTGTGATTACAGGCGTGAGCCACCGCGCCCAGCCGAAGTGACAATATTTATATACAATAAGCTTAACTCTAAGAGCTTACATTTATGCGTAGTCATTCTTAATTGATGATTAGAGGAAGAGACAAATAAATGGTCCCAGTTTAGCTACTGATATACTCAACAAACCTTGACGGACCTGAGGGCATTATGCTGAGTAAAGAAAATCATTTCCGAAGGTCACATATCACTTGGTAATCTCACAGTAACAAAATTATAGAGATGGAGAACAGATTAGTGGTTGTCAGGAGTTAGAGATGGTGGCAGAAGAGAGGCAGGAGAGACATCTTTGTAGTGATGAAACAGTTCTGCATAGGAAATTGTAGTAGTAGTTACATTTACAGACCCTTGATAGAATGGCACAGAACTACGCACACACATTGTACCAACTTCAATTTCTGGGTTTTTATACTCTATTATAATTACATAAAATGTAACCACTGGGGCAGTATGCGCAAATACACAGTGACCTCTCTAGTTTCTTTACAACTTCCTGAGAGTCTATTATTATTTCAAAATAAAAAGTTTTTTAAAAAATTGCTTCATGCCTATCTAATTTCATGTGCCACTTAAAAAAGAACACAAAAATAGAAACTGTAGGAAATTCATCTGAGTGCAGCTTATGCAAGAAGGGGCAGGATAACTCCATTCTGGACTTATGCTCAAAGACATGCGCCTTTACCTTACAACAAAACTGGCGAACAGGCATGTGTTTTAAGAATAAAAAGCTTTTAAGGTATCATATATTGTTTTTTATAGTTCCTTTGCTTAACTGACGTTTTGGTTTGCTAAAAAACTACCAATCACATCAGATTACAAGTACTTTCACTGTAAAAATAAAAAGTGATGTGACTGACACCTCTTAGCTCTGTAACGTATTACTCTTTACGAGAGCAGTGAAGGAAAACATGGTGATTCAATCACTCCACACACCAAGCAGAAAAGTGTTGAACAGGCCGGGCGCGGTGGCTCACGCCTATAATCCCAGCACTTCCGGAGGCCGAGACGGGTGGATCACTTGAGGTCAGGAGTTCAAAACCAACCTGGCCCACATGGTGGAGCCCTGTCTCTACTAAAAGTACACAAAATTAGCCAGGCGTGGTGGTGGACACCCGTAGTCCCAGCTACTCGGGAGGCTGAGGCAGGAGAATGGCATGAACCCAGGAGGCTTGCAGTGAGCCAAGATGGCACCACTGCACTCCAGCCTGGGAGACAGAGTCAGACTCCATCTCAAAAAAAAAAAAGTATTGTACAATTAAACTGTTTATATGTAATAACCACATATATATGCCTGGCATAAAATGAGCCCTGCATTAGAGGTTGCTGGATGTAGGGCCCTAGGCCTGACGTATCCAAATAATGTCTATGATAAAGAAGTCAATAAGTGCTCTCTATAACACACAAGCATTATAAGTTTTCACACTCCAAAAACTCTTCCTTTCTAAAGTTACTAAAACTTTTAAGGGCATTTCAAACAAAAACAGCTGTGGAAAACAGATCGGTTAAATCCTATGGCTAAGAAACATCTTCCTATCCCATGTATTATTCATTACCCAGGTGTCAATTCTGTTTCCAATACAAAAGTCTCAAGCAGTGAAGCGCTTCCCACTCCAGCTGGGAGAGCCATCCTCAACAAGATAAGGGTAAAACCTGTGAGCACAAGGCTTCCATCTGCAATTCCTGTCTGCAGGGAAGCTCCCCAAAGAGGGAAACCATGTCTTATTCCTTACGGTAAAACACCACCATTCATTCCTTGTGTTTAACAACCAATGCTGGTGGAACATAAAACAAAGCTTAGCAATCACTTTTTTCATGCTACTTAGACCTGTAACACATTTTTCCTCTGGTGCACACTATCCAAAACCTAGTCATTTCCCTTACTCCTAGGAGGAATTTAGATGACTTTTTTTTTGGCCAGGTGCAGTGGCTCACGCCTGTAATCCCAGCAATTTGGGAGGCCGAGGCAGGCAGATCGCTTTGAGGTCAGGAGACCAGCCAGGCCAACACAGTGAAACCCCATCTCTACTAAAAATACAAAAATTAGTCGGGCATGCATGGTGGCACACACTTGTAATCCCAGCTACTCGGAAGGCTGAGGCGGGAGAATCACTTGCATTCGGGAGGCGGAAGTTGCAGTGAGCCAAGATTGCGCCACTGCACGCCAGCCTGGGCGACAGAGCAAGACTCCGTCTCAAAAAAAAAAAAAAAAAAAAAAAGACTTTCTAATCATATTGGAAATGTGTAACAAGGACCAAGTACTGTGTATTAAACTTAATAAATCAAAACAACAGGCCCTCTAAGATATAAATGGTGCTTCACTGTATGTTTATCTGCCCAACCCATCATAGGAACTCAATTCAGCATTAAACTGGTTTTAGATCAAGACACTAGAACTCATGTTTAGCAGTTATTAAATTACAATTATTAAGAAAAACACTTTATTACGTAAAGTCCTTTACTCCAAAAAGTTTCTCAAAATACATAAACACTAATATAAAACAATTATTAAAACTTTGCCTGAATCTCAGGATTTCAGAAATATGAAAGTACTCATCTCTCACCTCTCCCATCCACTTAAAATGACAAAACAGATCATTATAGCTAAATCAAAGGAAATGTTTAAAGAGAAACAAACCCAAAGAGTAACTACACCAATTCTTGACCCAATTCTCTGTACTCTGTCTTATGTAACATTACACTATGAATAACAATCCCATCATCCACAACAGCTTTTTTTTTTTTGAAACAGTTTTGCTCTCATTGTCCAGGCTGGAGTGCAATGGCATGATCTTGACCCATTGCAACCTCCACCTCCCGGGTTCAAGCGATTCTCCTGCCTCAGCCTCCCGAGTGGCTGGGATTACAGGCATACACCACCACGCCTGGCTAATTTTGTATTTTTAGTAGAGACGGGGTTTCACCATGTTGGTCAGGCTGGTCTCCAACTCCTGACCTCAGGGCATCCACCCGCCTCGGCCTCCCAAACTGCCGGGATTACAGGCGTGAGCCACTGCGCCCGGCCACGCAACACAGCTCTAAACACTGGACTCTCATATCTACCAACACTCAATACCTGTTTAAAAAGAAAAAAAAAATTAGGAAGGGGCAATAACACTTCAGTGTAAGTATCCATGATCAACTACTGCTTAACAGCCTACACGACTTTTGATGAACAGTCAAGGCACATTACTTAATACTTAAAATGGTTAACCTTAGGGAGTAGGAAAATACAGACACACACAAAATATTTCAAACACTTCTTTTTGCTGCTGATAAGGAGTTCCAAAAGTAGTTTTTCCAAGCCATTTCCAAATAAAAGTAGATTGGGTGTAAATAATTGTCTATCGAAATATTAGTTATTATTTATTTAATAATGTCCTGACAAGCTTGCAGTTATCTCATTAAATCAAAAAATTAGGATCTAAGGCCAACATTGTTTCCTCACATTCTTGATGTGAAAATCTGAGCACTCCTCTTAATAAGGAGTTACAAAGACAAAACAAACAGCTCAACTGAACTAACTCTTGTCTCTCCAGAAACACAAACACAAGACCTCATAAAATGAGTGAGTTTCTATAGGCCATAATTACTGCAACTTACTTCTCCAATTTTCCCCTCCACAGTTAACTCAACAGCTCAAAAACGATCAGTAACAAACAACAGTCACCATGATATGGTTAGGAGTGTGGCAGATTTCTTAACCAGTAATAATAAATAGGAAAAAAATTTTGCCTATTAATAGATCTCAAGTTTCGTGCACTTGCAAGAAACTAATTAAAAGGCAGCCGCGCACGATCTACAAAAACAGCCATAAAGACTGTTACATTTTAAGTTACAGGAAATAAACCTGCTCCTCTAATTCAGCAAGATACAACTGACTTCCCCTTACATACCCTAAAAAAAAGCCTTACACGAGAAATTTAAACATGGAAGCAGAAACACACCAAGAAAAAGACATGTCAAACCCCACCTGTATATCTGTTTTCAACCATTTGGAGTCGAGGCGAGCCTGGGCAGCCAAACAGAAAGATTCAGAGGGCATCTTTTCTCCAGCTTCCTCCCAGGTCTCAGGCCTGCAAGTAAACACATACGCTGAAGACCTAACGCTTTTTAATAGTTTACAAAGACACTCCCGAAAGCCAGAAAAGAAAAAAGAGAGAGAGAACAGAAAGGGGGGAGAGAAGAGCTGGTGGAGGGGAGAGAAAGGGAGAGAGGGAAAGAGGGAAGAGATGGAGGGAGAGGGAGGTGGGGAAGGGAAAGCCTCCTTCCAAGGTAGGCAGGGTGTGCCGAGTTTCTGCACCACGCTGACGAGACCTTGAGAATGGACGGTCACAGGAAGCCAAGTCACAATGTCATCCCCCTGCCCTCAAATCCAAGAAGTACACACACATAACAGGGAGCCCATCGTTTTAACGACAAATGACAGCAGCATGAATCTGCCGCTTTACCCCACAGCAGGGCGCGTGCGTGAAACAAAAAATTACTCAAAAGGATCGCCTGCAGAAAAACCCACAGCCACCACCACTTAAGAGATGGAGAGAGGCCCGAGGCTGCCCCGCGGGTGGTCCGCGCAGGCCCCGGTGCGGCCGCCGCGCCCACGCCCGCCTCCCGGGCTCGGCCGCCCGCCAGCCCCGCGCCCGTACCGCCCCCGCCACCGGCCGCCCAGGTGCCCCAGGCCAGGACCTGACGCGCAGGGCCCGGCCGCCTCGCCTCGCCGGCGCGCGGACGCAGCCTCCCAAGAGCCGCTGGCTCAGCCGGCGCCCGCGATCCCGGCGCCTCTCGCGGCCCGAGGGGCGGGCCGACGCGGGACTGCCGCCCCCCGCGTACGGCCAATCGCAACGAGGCTGCTCCGTGGGCGCAGCCAATGGGGAAGAGGAGCCCTTCGCCGCTCCTCCCGACTCTCCCGCTTCCAGCAATCCCGCTTATCTTCCTACTTGGAGCGCCCTGGCTGCGGCCAAGGCCAACAGCGGGCGCCGGAAGGCGGGATTTCCGCCGCACGCACGCACTCCCGCACTCCCACGGGAGACTGCTTGGCCCGGAGCGCTCTTGATCACGCCGCGGCGGGTGGTGGCGCTCACACTAACTATAGCTATCCAGGGCGCGGGTCGAGTGGCGAGACCAGCTCCCCTGGGTATGAGAACGCATCTTTGTGCGGTCGGCTGGCTGGGGCCTGAAGAGCTTCCTCCTGTGTGTTCAACTGAACGCAGCAAAAGTCTTGGGCAGATTCCATGGAGCAGCTGTGGAAGCACTGTGCAGGGAATCGAAGAAGGAAACACCTCCAGCGACCACAAAACAAAATTGAAGAACTATAAAACAATATAGGCCGGGCGTGGTGGCTCACGTATGTAATTCTCAGCGCTTTGGGAGGCCGAAGCGGGAGGATCCCTCGAAGCCAGGAGTTGGAGGATCCCATGTTGCCAGACTGGGCAACATAGCAAGACCCCATCTCTAAAAAATAAAAATAAAAAAATTTAACAATTAGCCAGGTGTGGTGGCACACACCTGTGATCCCAGCTGCTCGGGAGGCTGAGACAGGAGAATCGCCTGAGCCTGGGAGATCAATGCTACAGTGAGCTTAGATCGTGCCACTGCACTCCAGCCTGGGCGACAGAGTGAGATCCTGCCTCTAAGAAAGAAAAATAACGGCCGGGCGTGGTGGCTCAGGCCTGTAATCCCAGCACTTTGGGAGGCCAGAGCAGGTGGATCATCTGAGGTCAGGAGTTCAAAACCAGCCTGGCCAACATGATGAGACCCCTTCTCTACTGAAAATACAAAGATTAGCCAGGTGTGGTGGCACGTGACTGTAATCCCAGCTACTCGGGAGGCCGAGGCAGGAGAATCGCTTGAACCCGGGAGGCGGAGGTTGCAGTGAGCCGACATTGCACCACTGCACTCCAGCCTGGGGGACAGAGGCTGCACCACTGCAGCCTTGACTTACCGGGTTCAGGTGGTTCTCCACCTCAGCCTTGCCACTAGCTGGGACTGCAGGCACATGGAACCACACCTGGCTAATTTTTGTAGTTTTTGTAGACGGGATTTTGCCATGTTGCCCAGGCTGGTCTCGAACTCCTGGGCTCAAGTGATCCGCCCGCCTCAGTCTCCCAAAGTGCTAGGATTACAGGTGTGAGTCACTGCACTCGGCTAATAGTAATGAACTTTGAACAGAAGGAAAGTTGTTATTATTTTCTTGGTTATGTTCTATCTATATTTTCTAATTTTTCTAAACATGTAAAGATAAAATTCTAAAAACTCAGACCTCAGAACAAAAAAATTAGAGTATAAATATTTATTTTAGTTAACTTGTACAAATTTGGTTTCTGGAAAAAGAATGGAATAGATTTTCTGAGAAAAAAAATCCACCACTTTGGCCGGGCGCAGTGGTTTACGCGTGTAATGCCTGCACTTTGGGAGGCTGAGGCGGTGGATCACCTGAGGTGAGGAGTTCAAGACCAGCCTGACCGACATGAAGAAACCCCTGTCTCTACTAAAAATACAAAAATTAGTCAGGCCTGGTGGCACGCACCTGTAATCCCAGCTACTCAGGAGGCTGAGGCTGGAGAATCGCTTGAACCCAGGAGGCAGAGGTTGCAGTGAGCTGAGATCGCACCATAGCGCTCCAGCCTGGGTGACAAAAGGAAAACTCTGTCTCAAAAAGAAAGAAAGAAAAGCAGACTGGCTGAAAGGATTGAAGAACAAAATATGATCCACCAATGTGCTATCTACAAGATAAACATTTTAAATACAGAAACAGATTGAAAGTAAAGGGATACAAAGATACAATTAAAATAGTAACCAAAAAAGAGCTGAAGGGGCTGTACTAATATCAAATGTAATACACTTTAAATTAAAGCAGGGCTGGGCATGGTAGCTCAGGCCTGCAATCCCAGCACTTTGGGAGGTGGAGGCAGAGAGACACTTGAGCCCAGAAGTTCGAGATCAGCCTGAGCAACATGGCATAATCCCATCTCTACAAAAAATACAAAAATTAGGCGGGCATGGTGGTACCCACCTGTGGTCCCAGCTATTTGGGAGGCTGAGGTGGGAGGATCATGTGAGCTGGGGAAGTTGAGGCCGCAGTGAGCTAAGATCGGGCCCCTGCACTCCACCCTGGGCAACAGAGCGAGACCCTGTCTGAAAATAAAAAAAAATAAAAAACGGGGTTGAGAGACAAAAAAGGACATCCTTTTTTTTATTATTGTATTTTGAGATGGAGTTTCGCTCGTTGCCCAGGCTGGAGTGCAATCGTGTGATCTTGGCTCACTGCAACCTCCGCCTCCCGGGTTCAAGTGATTGTCGTGCCTCAGGCTCCCGAGTAGCTGGCATTACATGTGCCTGCCATCACGCCCAGCTAATTTTTGTATTTTGGTACAGACGGGGTTTCACCATGTTGGCCAGGGTGGTCTCCAACTACTGACCTCAGGTGATCCACCTGCCTTGGCCTCCCAAAATGCTGGGACTACAGACGTGAGCCACCGCGCCAGCCGAAACCTTCATTTTAAAAAAGGCTGGGTCAGGCATCATGCCTCATGCCTGTAATCCCAGCACTTTGAGAGGGCAACGCAGGCGGATCACCTGACGTCAGGAGTTCGAGACCAGACTGACCAACATGGTGAAACCCCGTCTCTACCAAAAATATAAAAATTAGCCGGGTGTGGTGGCACACACCTGTAATCCCAGCTACTCAGGAGGCTGAGGCAGGAGAATTGCTTGAATCTGGGAGGTGGAGTTTGCAGTGAGCCGAGATTGTGCTACCACACTGCAGCCAGGGTGACAGAGTGAGACGCCATCTCAAAAAATAAATAAAGGCTGGGTGCCAGATGTGGTGCATAGGCCTAGTTTGTTGACTCCTGTACTTAACATATAAAACTCTAAAGAACAGTGGGAAGGAGCTTCCCTCTAGAGGCACAGGACCGGCCAAGTTGGTCCCTGAGCAGTGACTTTATAATAACATGTTACACTGTGTTTTTTGTTTTTGTTTTGTTTTTTGTTTGTTTGAGACGGAGTTTCGCTCTTGTTGCCCAGGCTGGAGTACAATGGCGTGATCTCAGCTCAAAACAACCTCTACCTCCCAGATTCAAGCGATTCTCCTGCCTCAGCCTCCAAAGTAGCTGGGATTTCAGTCATGCAACACCATGCCCGGCTAATTTTGTACTTTTAGTAGGGATGGGGTTTCTCCATGTTGGTCAGGCTGGTCTCGAACTCCTGACCTCAAGGGATCTGCCCGCCTCGGCCTCCCAAAGTGCTGGGATTACAGGCGTGAGCCACCACACCCAGCCTATATTTTTTTTCTTTTTTTTTAGACACAGTCTGACTCCGTTGCCCAGGCTGGAGTGCAGTAGCGCGATCTTGGTTCACTGTAACTTCTGCCTCCCAGGTTCAAGCGATTCTCCTGCCTCAGCCTCCCAAGTAGCTGGGATTACAGGCATGCACCACCACATCCGACTAATTTTTGTATTTTTAGTAGAGATGGGGTTTCACCATGTTGGCCAGGCTGGTCTCAAACTCCTCACCTCAAGTAATCCGCCCGCCTCGGCCTCCCAAAGTGCTGGGATTACAAGGCGTGACCCACCGGGCCTGGCCCTGTGTGTTGTTTTATGTATGTTTCTATATGTGTTATATTTCACAATAAACTAAATATTAAAACAAAGAATAACTGATAGCTATGCACAAAGGTATTTAAATTTCACCCTCACAAATAATTTTTTTTTTTTGAGACAGGATCTCACTCTGTTACCCAGGCTGGAGTGCAGTGGCACCACCTTGGTTCACTGCAGCCTTGACCTCCCAGGCCCAAGCGATCCTTCTACCTCAGCCTCCTGAGTAGCTGGGACTACAGGCACACTCCACCACACCCACCTAATTTTTGTATTTTTGGTAAAGATGGGGTTTCACCATGTTGGCCAGGCTGGTCTCGAACTTCTGGGATCAAGGAATCCTCCAACCTTGGCTTTCCAAAGTGCTGGTATTACAGGCGTGAGCCACTGTACCCGGCCAAGAATAGTTTCTTCTCCTTACCTAGGTAGAGACCTCTGCAGAAATGCTGGGAGATCTTTGGAGAGGGGAGATTTTTTAAATAAAAAATTTAATACTTGGAGGGGCGTGGTGGCTTACCCCTGTAATCCCAGCACTTTGGGAGGCCAAGGCGGACAGATCAGGAAGTCAGGAGATTGAGACCACCCTGGCTAACACGGTGAAACCCCATCTCTACTAAAAAAAATACAAAAAATTAGCTGGGCATCGTGGCGGGCGCCTGTAGTCCCAGCTACTCGGGAGGCTGAGTCAGGAGACTGGCGTGAACCTGGGAGGCGGAGCTTGCAGTGAGCCGACATCGGGCCACTGCACTCCAGCCTGGGCGACACAGCAAGACTTCGTCTCAAAAAAAAAAAAAAAAATTAATACTTTGGGATGCCAAGGCAGGTGGATCACGAGGTCAGGAGTTCAAGAACTGCCTGGCCAAGATGGTGAAACCCCGTAAAAATACAAAAATTTGCCGGGCTTGGTGGCAGGTGCCTGTAATCCCAGCTATTCAGGAGGCTGAGGCAGGAGAATTGCTTGAACCTGGGTGGCAGAGGTTGCAGTGAGCCAAGATAGCACCACTGCACTCCAGCCTGGGCAATAAGAGTCAGACTCTGTCTAAAAAAAAAAAAAAAAAAAACTGATCTAGTTCAAAACCTCACTTTGAATCCACCCACATTGCTCTAAAATACTTTCATCTTTCCTGTGGCTAAAACCTTAAAGCCTTGCCAGTAACTCCCATTGCACTTAAGGAAATCCAATCTCCCTTGTTGTGGCCCCTGAACAGGCTGCTGCTGGCCCACCACGGTGCCTCTAGTTTGTGTAAAATGCATATGTTAATTTATAATATATGAGGCTTTTTTAGCTCTAAAAGGCTATTATTCACTAGTTGCTGTGTGAATCAGTATTTCTGGGTGCAGTTAGAAATTATTAGAGTTGATGCCCAAGACTCATCTCCATCAGCACGGGGGAGGCATCTGCTCGTTTTATGGTCAGTGACTCTGGGCCTCCTGCTGGGCTAAGTCCTGAGGTGGGTCTGACTCAGGTCAGAGCTGTGCACCCCGGCCCTCCTCCTCAACGTGCATGAGTGCTCTTTAGGATGGAGCTGAACACTGGCTTCTCAAAACCACTTGGCCCCATCACAGGCCCTGAGAACTGATTGGGTCACTCTGGTGGGCTCCCCAGCCCTAGCCAAGAAGGGTTTCTCTAGGGAGCCTGGCCCCCCACTTATGAGACCTGGAGCCCCAAAGATCCTGACCAGGGGCCTGCCTCCTCCAGGGAGCGGCCACTCGCCCCCACCAAGCTCCCTTCACAGAGACCCATCCAACAGAGCTGAGGAAAACCATGCCTCATAAATGAATAAATACATAAATAAGAATGCCGGGGACCTGTGGATTTTGTAATTCCTGAAAGAAGGCAGAGTGGCTGGCTCACAGCAAGCGCAGTAGGAGATACTGCTCCCCGGCCAGGCTGTTCTCTGTCTCTTTGGAGGGAGCCCTAGGGTACAAGAAAAGCCAGAGGAGACCAGCTGGCCCAGAAGGTGCCTCTCCACCCCTTCCCCAGAGTTTCTGGGAAACAAAGCCCACCCGAGGGACACATGCCTTCTTGGGAGTTGTACCAGGCCTCCTTCCTCATCCAGCCATGCAGTGGTTTTCAGTGCCCGAAACAGATGAATAAAATAGGCCCTTTACGGGATGTTCTTCAGGAACATGCACACTTCTTTGGATCTTACCATCGTTTTATCTCTATTTAAAGTTAAATGCTGTGTTATACAGAGTATTGGTAAAGATGTAGAGCTACAAGAACTGTCAAGCTGGCAGTAGCATAAAATTGTATAAGCACATTGGAAACCTGTTTGGCAGCTTCTACTAAAGCTATATCTATGCCTACCTTCAGAAATTCCATCCTAAGCATGTACACAAGAGAAACGAGTGCATATGTCCACAAAAAGACTTATATAAGAATGTTCACTGCCATTTTTATTCATAAGAGCCCCAAATGAAAACAACCTAAATGTCCATCAACAGGAGAGTGAATAAATGGTGATACAGTCACATCATGGAATACTACACAGCCAAAAAAGAAAAATGAAGTGGTAGGAACACTCAACGACATGGGTGAATAGAGGGAGCCAGGTATGAGAGACAGTGCACAGTACCAGCCCACCTAGATGAAGCGCAGGAAGGCAGAACTGACGATGATTGAAGTCAGAAGGGTAGTTTCCTTTGTGGGAAAGTGTAGGTCAGGAAGGAGCCTTCTGGGGTACTACAAATCTGCCGTATTTTGGCTGGGTGCAACAGCTCACACCAGCACTTCGGGAGGCATAGGCGAGAGGGTCACTTGAGCCCAGGAGTTAGAGACCAGCTTGGGCAACACAGCGAGATCCCATCTCTACAAAAAAATTAAAAATTAGCGTGGCATGCTGGTGTGCACCTGTAGTCTCAGCTACTCAGGAGGCTGAGGCAGGAGGATTGCTTGAGCTTAAGAGTTTGAGGTTGCAGTGAGCTCCCAAAGTGCTGGGATTACAGGTGTGAGACACTATACCAGCCTGATTTTTAAATACTGACCAAGCCTTGTGTTACTGGGATAGGCATCACTTGGCCACGATTTACTACTCTCTTTCTTTCTTTTTTTTTTTTTTTTGAGACAGAATCTCACTCTGTCACCCAGGCTGGAGTGCATTGGTGCAATCTCAGCTCTCTGCAACCTCTGCCTCCTGGGTTCAAGCAATTCTCCTGCCTCAGCTTCCTGAGTAGCTGGGATTAGAGGTGTGCACCACCACACCTGGCTAATTTTGTTTGTTTGTTGTTTGTTTTTAGTAGAGATGGGGTTTCACCATGTTGGCCAGCCTGGTCTCCAACTCCTGACCTCAAGTGATCCACCCTCCTTGGCATCCCAATATTCCTATGATTACAGGCGTGAGCCACTGCGCCCGGCCCTATTCTGTTTCTATATTGCTAAATTTGACTTGCTAACACGTTTTTGAGGATTTTTCTGTTGATGCTCATCAGGGATGTTGGTTTGCAGTTTTCTTTCTTTGTATTATACTATCTCGTCTGGCTTTCTGTCAGGGGAAAGCTGACCTTATACAAAGTATTGGCATGTGTTCCCTCCTTTTCCATTTTCTCTAAGGGATTGTGTAGAATTAGTGTTATTTCTTCTTTAAATGTTTTTGAATCCATCTGAACCTGGAGATTTCTTTCTAAAAGATTTTACGCCGGGCACGGTGGCTCGTGCCTATAATCCCAGCACGTTGGGAGGCTGAGGCAGGTGGATCACCTGAGGTCAGGAGTTTGAGACCAGCCTGGCTAACATGGTGAAACCCCGTTTCTACTAAAAATACAAAAAATTAGTCGAGCTTGGTGGCGTGCGCCTGTAATCCCAGCTACTCAGGAGGCTAAGGCAGGAGAATCACTTGAACCTAGGAGGCAGAGATTGCAGAGAGCTGAGATTGCACCAATGCACTCCAGCCTGGGTGACAGAGTGAGACTCCGGCTCAAAAAAAAAAAAAAATTTTTTACAAATTCAATTTATTTAACAGATACAGAACTATTCAGGTAACCTGTTTGTTTCTAGGAGGATTTTCCTGGTTTGTGGCACTCGGACATTGCTTTATTTCATCTAAGTTGTCTGATTTTTAAGTGTCAAGTTTTCCTTAGTGTTCTCTTGCTAACCGTCTGAAGTCTGTGGGGCCTGCAGTGATGTCCCTTCATTCATTCCTGATACTGATAATTTGTATCTTTTCTGTTTTTTTCTTTGTCAGTTTTCCTAGAGTTTTTCAATTTTGTTGATCTTTTCAAAGAATGATCTTTAAGTTTCATTAATTTTTCCCTTCTTTTTTTGCTTTCAATCTCATTAGTTTCTGCTTTTATCTTGGCATTTGTTCCTTTGGCTTGTTTTGCGTTCACTTTGCTCTTTTTCTGGTTTCTTAAGGTGGAAACTTAGATTGCTGATTTAGACCTATCTTTTTTGTAATATATAATGATTTGATGCTATAAATTTTCCTCTAAGCAGTGCTTTAATTAAACCCACAAATTTTGGTGCATTTTCATTTATGTTCAAAATATTTTCTAATTTCTTTTGAGAATTGTTCTTTGACCCATGGATGATGATGATGATTATTATTATTATTATTTTTCTTCAATACGGAGTTTCACTGTTGTTGCCCAGGCTGGAGTGCAATGACATGATCTCGGCTCACTGCAACCTCTGTCTCCTGGGTTCAAGCGATTCTCCTGCCTCAGCCTCCTGATTAGCTGGGACTACGGGCACCCGCCACCATGCCCGGCTAATTGTTTTGTATTTTCAGTAGAGATGGGGTTTCTCCATGTTGGCCAGGCTGATCTTCAACTCCTGGCCTCAGGTGATCCCCCCAACTTGGCCTCCCACAGTGTTGGGATTACACGCGTGAGCCAGTGCGCCCGGCCTGACCCATGGATTATTAAGTATGTTGTTTTATTTTGAAGTGTTTGCAGATTGTTTTGTTAATGATTTCTAGTTTAATACCATTGTGATTGGAGAACAAACTGCATATGATTTCATTTCTTTTAAATTTGTTAAGATTTATGTGTCAGGTTATGTTCTCAGTGAACATTCTGTATGTGCTTAAAAAGTATATGTATGGTCTGTATATGTATGGTCTGTATATACATATATGTATACATATATGTGTAAAAAGTATATGTATGGTCTGTATGTGCTTAAAAAGTATATGTATGGTCCAGCACTTTGGGAGGCCAAGGCAGGCAGATCACAAGGTCAGGAGATCGAGACCATCCTGGCTAACAGGGTGAAACTCCGTCTCTACTAAAAATACAAAAAAAATTACCCGGGCATGATGGCGGGCGCCTGTAGTCCCAGCTACTTGGGAGGCTGAGGCAGGAGACTGGCTTGAGCCTGGGAAGCAGAGCTTGCAGTGAACTGAGATCGTGCGACTGCACTCCAGCCTGGGCGACAGAGCTAGACTCCATCTCAAAAAAAATAAAATTTAAAAAAAGTATATGTAAAGTGTATGTATGGCCGGGCACGGTGGCTCACGCCTGTAATCCCAGCACTTTGGGAGGCCAAGGCAGGTGGATCACGAGGTCAGGAGATCAAGACCATCCTGGCTGACATGGTGAAACCCCATCTCCACTAAAAATAAAAATTAAAAAAATAATAATAATTAGCCAGGCGTGGTGGTGAGCACCTGTAGTCCCAGCTACTCAGGAGGCTGAGGTAGGAGAATGGCGTGAACCCAGGAGGCAGAGCTTGCAGTGGGCTGAGATCCCGCCACTGCACTCTAGCCTGGGCGACAGAGCGAGACTCTGTCTCAAAAAAAAAAAAAAAAAGTATATGTATTTTGCTGTTGTTGGGTGAAGTGTTCTATAAATTAGATCCAGTTTATTGAAGGTGTTCTACAGTTCTCCTAGATTTTTGCCGATTACTTGTTCTCTCACTATGAAAGGTATTGTGTGTGTTATATGTGTCTAACAATTCATTGTCTAGTTAGAGTTGCTATTATACCACTTCAAGTGGATGGAGAGCCTCACTGCCATCCATTAATGTGCATTAATCATTTTGAGAGTGAAAAGATTTTTTAAAATGTTTTTACTTTTTTAGGTATGGCCAAGTGAGATGGGGCTAGTGAAATGGGTGGGAGAATTGGAAGCTGATAGTGTGTGAGCTAGACACCCATGAATGCTTTTCCACTGGGCAGTTAGAGGGATGATAGGTAATAATATAAGGCAGCTCCATCACACAAGCTGGTGACTCCTGTGCGACAGACCAAGAGCTGCATTTGGAGATTCATTTCCGATTGTTGCGTTTCCTCTTAGAGCATTGCTTGGTCATCGTGTTCTGAGTGGTCCATTGGCCTCCATGTCCCTTTTGGGGTGGATATTTGCTCAGTGACTTTTGAGCAGCTGGATCTCCTGCTTCGGCAGGTGAGTGAGGGGATGGATGGCTCCGCGGACTGGCCCCCGCCCCAGGAGAAAGAGTGCGTGGCCGTGGCAACGTTGAATCTTCCCCGACTTCAGGTATTCGTGATTTCCCTTCCTCTTGCTCCTTTTATAAGTGTCTTAGCGATTTGTAAGAAGGTTTATGTATTCTGAAGGACATAGGTTTTAGCCTGTTGGGGGAAGTATTTTAAAGTAAGATTGTAATGCACTAATAATGGACGCAAGGCTTAAAAAACTTGATCTGTTTATTTTATGTTTGTCCTGGAAGTCAGCCTCGGCATGCAGGAAGAGTGTATATGGATTGTGTTATTTTTGCTATAATCATTAGTTTGTTGGTATTCTTACTGTTTTACTGTTGGTGCGTGTGGAGAAATGACTGGGTGAGATCACAGGTGATGGAGAGAGACAGAGCTCAGCTGAGAGACCAGTGCTGGCCTGTCTCTCCTCTGTCCTGTGAAAACCCTGCTCCAGGAGGGTCCAGTCTTTTGGTTTCCCTGGGCCACACTGGAAGAAGAATTGTCTTGGGCTACACATAAAATACACTTATGATAGCTGATGAGCTTAAAAAAAAAATCCCAAAAATATCTCATGATGTTTTAAGAAATTTTACTTTGGGCCACATTCAAAGCTGCCCTGGGCCACATGCTGCCCTCGGGCCGTGGGTTGAACAAGCTTGATCTACTCAGTAAGCTCGGCTCCCAAAGCAATACCTTCCTTTCCTCACCATGAAGGCTGTGGTTAGGGTCACAATAAAAGCTACAAAAGCCTTCCTCCCTAGCAAAACTAAAGCTGAAGTGTTTGATCATCATCTTTTGTCTTTGTAATAAAACCCTCTAACTTAATGACAAGAACCACGGTTTTCTCGACATAGTAATTTTTCCCTTTTATTACAGTGGTTTCTTGTAACAACCCGTCATGTCCCTCTTCCAGCCCCTCCCCTTTTTGCCCTGCTTCTAGAATGTACAGAACTGAGTGTAGTGTTTAGTTGCAGTAATGAACTGAGCAGAGGTCTGGAGCATGCTTCTCCTCTAGTCCTCTGTAGCACTCATTTATCACCATACCTGTGGCATCCTGGCGTTTGCGTGGTTGCGCCCCAGGTGTTTGCTGCCCCTCCTGGTTTGCGGTGATGTGTCTGTTCTGGTCAGTGCTGTGGGGCGTGGCCTTGCGTATGTCTTAGGCTGTCGAGGTGTCCCAGCGTATGGTTTTGCATTTGCCTCTCCGGGGTCCTGAGGGTTCTGTAGGTTTCACAGACTCCAGGTGAGTTTCGGTGGTCATTTCCTGACCTGTGATATCTATACCTAGATGAGTGGTGTGCTTTTGATTTCACTTCTACTCACAGGGCAAGGCCGGGTCTCTGATTTCTCATGGGGCCTCTTGCTACCCAGAGCCTGGGACGGGCAGTGTGTTGCCCCCTGGCTGCGGTTGGCTGGCAGGCAGGTGATCCTGAGTGGCTCCCAGCCTTCTGCAGGAAGCTCGGGTTCAGTGGGTCCTTGTGTGCATTCCCGTGTGGGAGGTTGTGCTGAAGCCTGGCGGCTTGGCTCTGCTTTCAGAGCCCGGAACCTCTTGACTCCTGCTGTGTGTGCCCATGTGAATTTTGGTTTTGCACTTGAGGAGTTTCCCTGTGTACTCTCAGCTCCGCAGTCTAATTTTTAGCAGCTCTTTTTTTTTTTTAGACAGGGTGTCACTTTGTCACCCAGGCTGGAATGCAGTGGTACAGTCTTGGCCTGCCAGGTTCCAGTGATTCTCCTGCCTCAGCCTCCCAAGTAGCTGGGACTACAGGTGTGTACCATCACACCCGGCTGATTTTTTTATAGAGATGGGGTTTCATCATGTTGGCCAGGCTGATCTTGAACTCCTGATCTCAAGTGAGCTTTCCCGTCGGCCTCCCAAAGTGCTGGGATGACAGGCATGAGCCACCGCCTGTGGCAGCTTTTGTGGTTACATTGTAGCCATTATTTCTGTGTTTGGTGCAGATTGTTGGGGCGGGGTGGAGGTTGCTGTTGCTAGTTGTTTAGCTCTTCTGCTCATCTTGAGCTTTTCCATATATATGTTCATAGCGGGGTTAAAAAAAATTCCTCTAGAAAATATTTCAACTATTGTGGGTAAGAGTTTTTTTAGTCCAGTTTTTAAAAATACGTAAACTGAGAAGTTATTTTGTCTATTTAAATAATACTTCAAATTGACTTTTATTCAGTGTTTAATAAGACTTTGAAATTCACTCATTTTTAGGGGTTCTAAGTGAAAATTGTTTTTCTCCTTTCAGTTGCATGCTGCCATTAGTCACCAGGTTGACCTGGAATTCCTTGGTTTAGGTCTGGGCAGCGTCTTCCTGAACAGCCTGAAGCAGAAGGTGGTGACCCTGGCAAGCAGCGCAGACGTGCTGAGCACCGTGCAGTCGGCCTCCCAGGCCATGCTGCAGAGCGGCTGGTCCATGCTGTTGCCCACCGCTGAGAAGCAGGCCCGGGCACTCTGCTCTCCTGTCCTGTGGAGGTGGGCTCGGGGAAGGAACAGGAGAGGGCATGGGTCAGGGTGCTGGGAGGGGATGGCGTTTCACTCAAATTGGCACAGACTTTCTATTTCAGTTTCAGGCAATGAAGTGAACATAAGTCCAGGTCATCGATTGGTGATTGATCTTCTGGTGGGCAGCTTGATGGCTGATGGAGGGTTGGAGTCAGCCTTACACGCAGCCATTACTGCAGAGATCCAGGTATGGCCTTGGAGGCACACGTGACCTGGTGGTGGGCTGAGATCGGAAATACCACACTCACACATGTGAAGAATAACTGAAAACAGTAAAACACTAAACTTATATCCAAGTATTTTTTTAAATTAAAATTCTTTTATGTGCTAATTTTAAAAATTATTGAGATGATTTGTGATAAAATACTGCATGTTGTCTGTTTCAGTGAAGTTAACAGGTAACCTGTTCCTCATGTAGACCATTCCCGTCACCCGGAAAGATCCCTGTGCTCCTTGGCACTTGCAGCCAGGATACTCCCCTGCCCTGAGATTAGATTCATTTTTCCTGCTCTGAGTGTCGCAGCAATATAACTGTATAGTATGCACTCTTTCCTGCTTTGCCTTGGAGAATGATTTTCAGATTCACTCACTGTTGTGTGTATTGCGACTTCGTTTTTATTATTGGGAAGTTTTCCATTTTATAGGTGTAGTACTGTTTGTTAGTTCATTCTCCTATTGAAGGACATGTAATTGTTTTTGGTTTTTGTTTTCTTTTTTTTTTTTTTTTTTTGAGACAGGGTCTTGCTCTGTCACCCAGGCTGTATACAGTGACCTGAGGTTGGCTCACTGCAGCCTTGTCCTCCTAGGCTCAAATGATCCTCCCACCTCAGCCTCCTGTGTTGCAGGGACCACATACATGTCACCATGCCCGGCTAGTTTTTTGATTTTTTTGTAGAGACAAGGTTTCACTGTGTTGCAAGGCTGGTCTTCAACTCCTGGGCTCCAGTGATCCCCCCACCTTGGCCTCCCAAAGTGTTGGGATTACAAGCGTGAGCCACCGCGCCCAGGCTTTCTGGTTTTTGGCCGTGTAGAGCTGCCACAATTGTGCTGTGAACAAGTACTTTAGTGAACATATGTTCTCCCTTTGGATAAACACTTGGAGTGGAATTTGTTAGGTCCTGGGGTAAGTGTGTGTTCATAGTTTCCCAAAGTGGCTTTGCCATTTGCATTTGAACCAGGACTTTTGTGTGTGAGAATTCTAGCTCCTTCTTGTCCTTACAGAGCAGCTGGATGCTGCGTGTGTGGAGCCGATCACATTGGGTTTTGTGTGAGCCATTAGCAGGGTTAAGGATTTTAGGGACTTCACAGAAGGAGGCTGGAGAGCATCAGCAGAGGCAGCCTGGACCTTGGATCTGTAAAAAGAAGACACTGTTTGAAACTGCACAAATGAGTTGGGGTTTCCAACAGGGCAGGTGGGGGGCCTGTGGGTGGATGGGTGTGGCAGCCACAGAGGCTGGGATAGCTTGGCACTGGGGTCAGGGCTCAGCCAGCCTGTGTGCCTTCACACCTGGTAATGAGATCACTTGTAAACAATTTCTGTTTGTCAATTACAGGATACAAAAAAAGAAGCACGGAAGGAAAAAGAAATTTATGAACAGGAGGCAAATGCCTCAACATTTCATAGAAGGAGGACTCCATTGGATAAAGACCTTATTAATACGGGGATCTGTGAGTCTTCTGGCAAACAGTGTTTGCCTCTGGTTCAGCTCATACAACAGCTTCTTAGGTAAATCATATTAGCTGTATTGTATTGTGTTTTATTTATTTACTTTTTTTTTTTTGAGACAGAGTTTCGCTCTTGTTGCCCAGGCCGGAGTGCAGTGGTGCGATCTTGACTCACTGCAACCTCCGCCTCCCAGGTTCAAGTAATTCCTCTGCCTCAGCCTCTCGAGCAGCTGGGATTACAGGCATGCGCCACCATGCCCCACTAATTTTGTAGTTTTATTAGAGACAGGGTTTCTTCATGTTGGTCAGGCCGGTCTTGAACTCCCGACCTCAGGTGGTCCATCCACTTTGGCCTCCCAAAATGTTGGGATTACAGGCATTAGCCACCACGCCTGGCCTATTTATTTACTTATTAATGGTGTTTTTTGTTTTTTGTTTTTTTTTTGAGATGGAGTCTTGCTCTATCGTCCAGGCTGGAGTGCAGTGTCACGATCTTGGCTCACTGCAACCCCCGCCTCCTGGGTTCAAGCTATTCTCCTGCCTCAGCCTCCCGAGTAGCTGGGACTACAGGCGTCTGCAACCACACCTGGCTGATTTGTGTATTTTTAGTAGAGATGGGGTTTTACCATATTGGTCAGGCTGGTCTCAAATTCCTGACGTCAGGTGACCCACCTGCCTTGGCCTCTCAAAATGTTGGGATTACAGGTGTTAGCCACTGTTCCCGGCCTGTATTGTATTTTAATAGGTGATTATTGGTTTTCATATTAAGATAGTGAAATCTAGCGCAAGGGTCTCAAAAATTTGTTTGATGATTGAAGGAATATTCTGAAAATTACCTAGTATAGATGTTAGGATAAAGAGCAGACCCTTCTCAATATAGGTGAGAGGAGAAGTTGGAGGGTGTGATGATACTCAGAAGTTTTTCACAGAAGAGAAATTGGGGCGTGCAGTAAACATGTAAAAAGATTCTTACTAATAAGCAGGTAGGTGCGAATGAAAATCATCATGGAAGGTTATTTTTAAAACTGGTTCTATCATTGCCTCACTTTACATATTACAGAGTTGTACCTACTACTTTGTAAGATAACTTTTCTTTTCAAAACTGAAGTCAATGTGATAGAATGGTGAGCATTATTTTGGAAGGCCAGACTAGGAGGAGGTGGGAGGAGGAAGTCAGACTCAGCCTGTGAACAGACGCTAACCTTGGCAGAAGCCAAAACAGTCAGACAGTGTTGTGTAAAAATGATCATTCAAGAAGAGCGAAACAGCAAGGTGATTTGTGAAAGAGATTTATTAGAAAATGAAACACATTTATACCTCTGTTCAATAAAAATCTGCTTTTCGTCAACTGATGCTCCTGGTTTTTGTTTCTACACATAGAGAAAGCAGAGCCCTGGCAGCTTGGGTCAGGCAGCCGAGTACAGACCAGGGAGCCCTGGGCAGTGGCTGCAGCTCTCAGCTGGCCTGTTCATGGGGCCATGGTGGGTCTGTGGCGTGGGGTGGGCCCGTGGCGTGGGGTGGGCCCGCGGCGTGGGGTGGGCCCGCGGCGTGGGGTGGGCCCGCGGCATGGGGTGGGCCTGCTGTCCACAGCCAGCAAAACTAACTTAGTGCACACACAGTGAAATTTTGAAACAGGAAGTTTTAGAGCTAGTTTCTGTCATAGATTTTAGTAAATGCTATTTTGCAAAACCTTTTTCTGATGTTTGTTTTGTTTTTCTAATCTGATAATGCATATTTCACACATTCTGGTCTTTAACAAATGGAAATAAAGAGAACTAAACAATATAGTTTGTGTCGATGGAAAGAGCTTGGGATTTGTTCTCAGAAAATTTCAGTTACAACAGTTTGTTCATATAGGTGGACTTCCAACACAGTAACTATAGGAGTAAGAATAAAAGCTGTGTTTACTTTCACAGAGTTAATTAAGAATACATGAGAAAATGGATGTTAAAAACCTTGTAATTAAAATGTACAGTTACATGCAAAGTTTTAAAGTGAGCATTTTCCAGAGGTGCTTTTCTAAGTTCTTGAATGCCTCTCCCTTTTCTGAAGTGGCTGCTTCGTGGGGCTGTTGGTCTTTGGCAGGGGGTGAGTGCAGGGTTCCTGTTGTGGGTCCTTTGTTCTCACGAGGGCAGTGCCCGTTTTCCCCGTCTCCTGCTTGCCCAGACTGTTCCCGTGCGCAGAGAGACTGGCCTGTTTGACCTGCAGCTGTGCTGTTTGAGCTGCAGCTGTGTAGCCTGCGCTGGCCCATCTGGCTACACTCAACACCGTTTGCTGATCAGCACTTGAAGTCTGTCCGTCATAGCTGAGACACTGAATATTTTATCTGTTTAATTTTTATTCATTAAAATGCAGGTTTGAAAATTTGATTCTGTTATTAGAAAGCACTTAAGTATGTTTAGAATCACTTGGCCTTGGGAGTCTACTTTGTCAACTGTGTATTTTATGAGTCTAAATGGAGATCAGATGTTTTCAATGCAAATTTCACGGTCCAAATTGAAATGTGTTACATATGTAAGCTACTCAGATGGTTTTTGAGGACTTAATATGAAATAACCTATGTAAAATATCTCAATAATTTTTCTTAGATTGATTTCATGTTGAAATGGTCATATTTTTGATCTGTTGGAATAACTATGATACATTATTAAAATTATTTTTATTTTTTAAGATGGAATCTTACTCTGTTGACCAGACCGGAGTGCAGTGGTGCAATCTTGGCTCACTGCAACCTCCGCCTCTTGGGTTCAAGTGATTCTCCTGCCTCAGCCTCCTGAGCAGCTGGGACTACAGGACTACAGACTCCCGAGCAGCTGGGACTACCACCACGCCTGGCTGATTTTTGTATTTTTGTAGAGACAGAGTTTCACCATGTTGGCCAGGCTGGTCTCGAACTCCTGACCTCAAGTAATCTGCCCGCTTTGGCTTCCCAGAGTGCTGGGATTACAGGCATGAGCCACTGCAACCAGCCATTAGTACAATTAATTTTATGTGTTGTTGTTTTTCTTGTTGGTGTGTTTTTTTTTTTTTTTTACTTTTGTTAATGTGACTAAGAACAATTTTTTTTCCCCACCCGGAGATGGATCCTCACTCTGTTGCCTGGACTGGAGTGCAGTAGCACGATCTCAGCTCACTGCAGCCTCTGCCTCCTGGGTTCAAATGATTCTCCTGCCTCAACCTCCTGAGTGGCTGGGACTAACAGAAGCATGCCACCATACCTGGCTGATTTTTGTATTTTTAGTAGAGATGGGGTTTCACCATGTTGGCCAGGACGGTCTTGAACTCCCAAACTCAGGTAATCTGCCCACCTCAGCCTCCCAAAGTGTTGGGATTACCGGCGTGAGCCACCGCACCTGGCCATGTTTATTAATACGACTAAGAACATTCTGAATTGCACCTGTGGCTCCATTGGTGTCCTGGGCAGGTGGCTCTGTGCTGTCCACACAGGTTGTCTCCTGTGTCTTCGTCTTCGCTGCGTGTGACTTTTTGGTTCCTGTGGCACGTGGGGTCCTGTATGGGACATTGGTTCTACAGCAGATTTATAGTAAGGATGTACCTACTAAAAAATACAAAATAGAAAGAATAGACACAAACATAGAAATAAGTATCACCTCACAAAAATTTTGGAAAGTAGAAAAAGAAAAATGCATTCGCAGCTTTCCAGTAGCCGATATCCAGGCTGTCTTCATAAGCATGGATCATGTGTCCCTCTCCCGCATGGGTAGACACTGTTTTCTCACCTTAAGTGTTTGTGAGTGAAGGATTCTTGATGTGTTGACTTGGCAGATGCAGTTGTTGAACAGTAGTTTATCTAAAGATCGTAAGAGACTTTTGGAGACATTTCATGTCCTTTTTTCCCTTGGAAAACGTGAGTTGGAGAAATCGCTGCTTGCCAAAAATAAGCCGTGAAACGTATTTCAGAGTAGATCGTTATTTACTTGCTGGCGAGGAGCCACAGAATACCATTTACATTTGAAAATAGAGCGCTGCAAAGTTTTTATAAGTAGTGAATCCCATCAGAATTACACATTTTGATTATGGCTCTAAATTTTATATTAAATAAACTAAAAATTTCATTGTATTGTATTACCGTCTCTTGCTCCTTCAGGTGTAGCATACATGCTAGATTCTAGACCTGTTTCTTGTGTTACAGTGGTGTTATCCAGGCAGGGTATCATGTAGTGAAGGTGATGTCGAGTGGTGGTGGTGAGCCCAGTGAAGGCGCATCCTTGCCGTGTGTGATGAGGGCCTGTGGGTTGCTATGGGATTCCCCAACCCTGGCTCCTCTGTCTCCTGCTTCTGTCCTTACTCACACTGCTGGTAGTTTTCTGGTGTGAGACACGGGGGCAAGTGGGATTGACAAGCCTGCTGTCACATTAGGAACCTGAGTTAAAGTGGAGCTGAAAGCATGTCCTCGCTCTTGATGTTGTGCAGAGAGCCACCTGTGCTCCTGGCTCAACGGGGCGGGTGTGGTGGGTCTGGAACCAGGCCCTGGTTTGGCTCTCCTCCCCTCCATGTTCCCCTGTCCTGTCTGATTTGCTTCACACTGACATAAGAGTTACTTTCCCTCGGCCTCCCAAAGTGCTGGTATTACAGGCATTAGCCACCGCGCCCAGCTAGCATCCTTTCAAGTACTGGGGTACACCCAAGCTCCCAGCTTCTAGCTAGGAGTCATTTTGTCCCTCTTTATCCCAAAGGACTTGCCACCATCTTTGGTTCCCAAAGCCCAGGAGGGTCCAGGCTCTTCAGCCTCCAACCACTTTGCATTTCTTGTCTGCTTTTCGTTCATGGAGATAATTAACTTATTTTTCAGCCTGGGCATGTCTTTTTTATTTACTTTATTTTTTATTTTTATTTTTTGAGATGGAGTCTCACTCTGTCGCCCAGGCTGGAATGCAGTGGCGGGATCTCATTTCACTGCAGCCTCTGCCTCCCGGGTTCAAGTGATTCTCCTGCCTCAGCCTCCTGAGTAGCTGGGACTACAGGTGTGCACCACTATGCCCAGCTAATTTTTACATTTTTAGTAGAGACAGGGTGTCGCCATATTGGCCAGGCTGGTCTCGAACTCCTGGCTTCAAGTGATCCTCCTGCCTCAGCCTCCCAGAGTGCTGGGATTACAGGCACGACCACCGCACCCAGCCTTTATTTACTTTGTATATCTCATCTATTACTGCTGCAGTTTGCAGAAGAGAGGATGCCCTCAAACCTAACTTCTCCAAACCATCCCAAATGGGAAGTCTGCTCCACGTCAACAGCATTGTTGCTTTTAAAGACTATACGTCAACATGGCAGATTATAGCAAAAGGATGTCGAGGGAGCAATAGGAAAGCAAGCCTGAGAGTCCTGGAGAGAAGGTGGCAGAGCTGCCTTTTGAAGGTGGTTCCTTCCTCAGACCCTGCCCTTCCTGCCTTGTTCCTCCAGTTGCCAGATTTGCTGTTGGAGCTCCTCCACGGGCGAAGAGGTGAGGCTGGACTGAGAGGGAGATGGAGAAGCTGCCAGAGATTCTTTTGGATCTAGAATTGAGACAGCAGTTCCAGCCAGGTCCAGAGGTGGGGGCTGTCACCCAGCCCCCAGGGGAATGGTACTGATTGCAGAATGTGGCGAGAACTCCCTGGCTGGGAGAGGGAGGTGCTTGCTCCCTTGAATCACCTGAGCCCAGGCTGGAAGGCCCAAGGGGGAGGACGAGGCCAGCTCACTCCAGCTCCATCCCCTCCCTTTAACCCTAAGCTAGTTAACCCTCCCAGACTCCAGTCCTTTTTCCTAAGTGCCCTCCCTGCAAAGTCTGCACCGAGCAGCGCTCCCTCGCACCAGCTCACCCTGCACTGTCTTGTCTTTCAGCAACCCCATGGGTTTGAACTTGAGACGATTCATTTTCCTAAAAGCCTCTTTGGGCTGAGGGAAGGCATGGGTGGCTCTGCCAGTTTTGGAGTGGGGGCCGACTCTTCTCAGAGCCGCTGCAAGGGCCAGGGCCACCCTCCCAGGCGGGTGTCTCTGGGCTGGGCAGCAGCTTTGTAGGCAGCCTGGGTCATCCCCACTGGCCTGGGAAGCTGGGGGTGCACCGGCTCCTGCTCCTGATAGGGCCAAGGCACCTTCCTTACCTAAGAGCTGACTTTCTTGAAGAGTGGGCACAGAGGAGCCGGCAACCTGGGCTGTGTAGGCACCCAGGAGAAAATCTGCAGCTCAGTATCAGAAGTCTCCACCAGCACGGCTGTTGCAGAGATGGGGAAACTGGGCTGAGAGGGAAGGGGGCTTGCCCAAATCACCAGCCCTGGAATGTTTTGAGCTTTGGGGGTGGATCTCCCAGGAAACGTGTTTTATGGCACCACCGCCTCTGGTCACCCACCCCGAGGTGTGGCGGGCCTGGACAGCCAGCTTGACTGAGGGCCAGGCTGGTGAAGTCAAAACTACCACTCAGGAAGAAGACCTAGCCCTTCTCCAGACAGAGTTCAAATGTGAGGACTGCCTTCTTTGGGCCTCAAATTCCCCACGTGAATTCCAAGGACCCCTCTAGCTCCTACACTCTGGGCCAAGGTTTCCTCTGAGCCGCAGTCAGCCTAGAGGACCTAGGATACATCTTCCTTGGACAGAGACCCACCATAGGGGCAGCAGGAGGTAGGGGTGGGGGTAGGCAAGATTCCTGTGGGGAGGTGGAGCTGTCATCAGAGATGGTGTCTGCAGGCAGTGGGTGTATCGTGGCTCTGCTACTACTTGCTGGGTGGCCCCATGACGTTTCTTTCCCCACTCTGACCTCAGTTTCCCTATCTGTTCTGTGGAGATAAGATGCCTGCCTACATATTTGTGGACTGGGATGTGTGTGGGCCAGTTGCAGTGTTTCTTGGTGTGGTCCTGGGGCAGGCTGCACCACCCCATAGAGATTTCTGGGCCCCACCCTAGGCTCACAGGACCAGAATCTCTGGGAATGAAGCCTGGGAATTTGCATTTCCACAGGCATCTGGCTGATTCTGACATGACTGAAAAGCACTAATAGTATATAGCAAGCTCTTTATAAAAGGTAAATTCATAGCTGCCTTTTACTAAACATAAATCTTACCTTCCCTTCCTCAGTTAAGGACACACACCGCAGTTGAAAATCACTGTGCCTTTCCAGATGCAGAGTCTGACCTTTCCGATAAGATTCTGTTAACTGCTGCTTTCTGCAGTTTGTATTCCAAAACAAGGGGAATATGTTTCCATTTTTTCAATACAAATGTTTAAGTCGGATATGCTTTCTCAAACTGGACACACACTCACACAGCTTAGGGTTTCAGCTATGGCTTCCTCTCAAATTATTAGCCTCTTTCTGCCAGGGAGCAGTTTTTCCCAGACAAGACCCTGGACAGAGGTTGGTGGGGCCCTCCTCATCAGAATCACTAGATTATGACTGACCCCTAGAGGTGGCTTTTCTGCTTAAGTGTCAGCCCATGGGCTGGGTTGTGACCCCCAAAGCTGCGGCAGAAGCTTCCACCCATCCTGGGTCCCCCCTGCCATCTATGGGGAAAGGCCTGTCCCTTGTCTTCTGGGCCCAGCCGGCCTCACAGGCATTCAGCAGATTGGAAAGTCGAAGCATGTGCTGTGCTTGGCTGGGCTCTCCTGCGCCCCTTTTTGGGGTGAGGTGGAGTGCATCCAGCCCCCGGCATCCCTGCCGTTTATTCCCACCCCTCATCCCCACCCCCATACACACTCACAAGTACAAACACAAGCACAGTCACTGGCACACACCACTCTGGACAGCACCATTTCCAGCCTCAGCGGGGCAGTTTCCTTACAGGGAAGTTAATGAGGCACTAACGAAGGCTCAGGGGACAGGGGGAACCTCTATCGAGAAGAGGCTCCTAGACCTGGTTCTGCCTCTGAATTGCTGGGGGTCCTTGAGAAAGTTGCTATCCCTCTCTGGTCTCAGTTTCCTCAGGTGAGAAATGGGGGGCCGGCCAAATGGTCTAAGGTTCTGGGAACCTCTAAATCAGAGCCCGTAGCTGGTGGTCAAGATGAGGGAGAGGCCCTCAGGGTCAGCCGAATGCCTGAGAGGCAGGACAGGCCCAAAGGTGAGCAACGTGAGCACATCAGGTGGGCTCAGAGCTGGCGCATGAGCCCCACAGCCTGCAGAGCAGCCCTGTACTCGGGAGCCCGCTCACACCCACCCAGTGGGACTTCAGAGATGTGGGGTCCAGCCTTTCCTACTATTGCTGGGCTGAGGGCTGGGAGCTGCAGATTCTGACCCCACAGCTGCCTTAGACATGCCAGATGGTCTGGGGCAAGACACACCCCTCTCTATGAAATGAGCAGCCAGTCCAAATAGGTACATTAGAGAAGGGCTGTGGGATGGACCCAGCTGTAGCCTGGGGCTACAGACTGGCTTCCGGGGTACTCAAGCAGCTGGCCTCTGGGGTAGCAGCCCCAGGTATGAGAGGCAGGACTCAGAATCTAGGCCAAGCCTCCATAGGAATCCCCTCTGGAGAGCCCGGGCACTCTGCAGGAGGGGCAGCAGGCAGCAGGTGCACCAGGAGCATGTTTCACAAGGTGCCCAATATCGCATCTGCTCAGATAGGCAGCGAGTTGGAAAGTGGATGCAATAGGCAGGGTGGCGGCTGCTCCCCACAGCCAGGAGTCCGGCCCAGCACCCACCTGAGTCCGCCTCAGTCCTGCTCAATTGGGTTATCCGTGCTCTTGGCCCTCTGGTCCCACCCACAGAGGGAGGTCTTTGGGGCGACCAGGTGAGCTGGCCCTTGTGGGAGGATGTAACTGACTCCTGAGCCTGGCGAGCCAGGCAGCCCCTCGCCAACATCCCCACCCCTACCTCTCCAGCCCCCCCGCATTCCCTGATCCTCCCATCCGCTCCCCTGACCCAGCAGTTGCCTCTGCTCACTCTCTTTTCCTGCTCCCAGGCTCGCCTGGTCATGTGTCCTTCACTCTCCTCTGAGTCTCCCTCTTTCCAAGCCGCCTCCACTCTACTTGACACACTCTCCCTTAAGACACCAGAGTACACAAGCGCAAGTCCCTGCACCTCACCTTTACTCCCAGACATGGGAGGGAGATGACATGAAGACCCAAACGCCACTTAGCAGGAGATCTGGGGTATGCAGAGGGGCAGAACGGAGGCTGTGGAAGCTCCAGGGGCTCCCTGCAGGAGGCCACATGTAAGCTGGCTATTGAATGTGGCTCTGAGCTGAGACCTCTCCTTGAAGCTCCAGACCAGGAGCCAGCTGCTAGCTGGACCCCTCCATTTGGTGCCTCAGAGAAACTTTGCACTCTGTAGGTCTAACTTTGAACCCAGAAAATTCCCCCATGTCGGCCCTGTCTCTTCACAGGGAAAGCACCACCTCAGACCCAGTTCTGCACCAAACCCACATTTGAGTCACGAGGCTCCTGCCCTGCACTGTGAGCACTCTGGATAAGCCAGTGCTGAGGGGGAAAGAGCTCTGAATGCCAAGCCAAAACATGAGCTTCAACTCCACCTCCAGCTCTGAGAGCTGTGGGTAGGGAAGGGCCCTCGTCCAGTTTGCTGTAGAAAGATCAGTCTGCCACTGTATGGCACATGGATGGCAGGGGCAGAGTGTGGGTGGAGAGAATAGAAGGTGGGCAGGGCGGGGGAGGCAGGGACATGGCTGTAGCCGTGGAGATGGGAGGACAGACAGGACTTGGTGGCCACTTGGGTGAACCAAGGGAGGAGTCAGGAAGAGACACCCAGTTTTGTATCAGATGTGTAGAGCGTGGGATGCTGTTCATTGACGGAGGGAGGAGGAGGAGGAAGAGATATGGCATGGGGAGGAGGTAGCTGAGCTCTGTCGTGAATGTCATTTGAAGTCCCCAGGGAAAGCCAGGCCGGCCAGCACCTTCACTGCTTCAGCCAGCTCTCAGGGTGTCTGTGCTCCCTGGCCCTCTCAGCTCCTGCTTCATAGCTGTCAGCTGCAGTGGGAGACAGCTGCACAAGGGCCCAGCATGTCTGTGTGTTTACCCAGGGGACTGCCGCATGGCCCATGCCGAGCAGAAACTGATGGACGACCTTCTGAACAAAACCTGTTACAACAACCTGATCCGCCCAGCCACCAGCTCCTCACAGCTCATCTCCATCCAGACGGCGCTCTCCCTGGCCCAGTGCATCAGCGTGGTAGGTGCAGAGGGTACCTGTGGCTCAGGCTCAGGTGAAGAGGAAGCTCATGCCCAAGCCCTAAGCAGTCAATGTCCAGAGGAATGAAATGACTAGAGTTGACTTAGACTCACCGGTACACGGTGGGGAGGCTGGAGGAGGGTCCATGAGGTTTATAGGTGTCCAGTATTTAATGAGGTCATGGTTTTGTTAACAAAGAAGAAATGAGGGTGGGAGCGAGATCACCACTGGCTAGGCAGCCAATGGGCCTGCATAGACTCTGCTCAGCTGAGTCTCCAGCACGACCATGAGCTTCTCCTCCTCATCCTCCCAGCCCCACCCTACTCTCTCCCCCAGCTTGCTCAACAGGTGACCTTATAGGCTCCCTACTCTTTGCAGGGAATAAGAACCAGACTGGGGGAACTGACGGGTACAGAGGCCCAGGTGTAGGCGCAGGACCACAGGCAGTGAAGCGTCTACTGACCCAGGCGGGTGAGGGTCTGGAGAGTGGGCATGGCTGCTGCAGGCATGGAAAGCAGGCACAGATGGCGGCACTCCCAGGGCCCATTGTCAGGGTCTCCACATGTGGACATGTGCAGAGGTGGGGGTGCTGAGGGAGGAGGGGCAGGGAATTTCTCATCTTCTCTCTACTGCCTCTGAGTTGGAGATGTCAGAGGGAGCCATGGCCCACTGTAAAGTAACACAATGTCCCCACCCACAGGATTAGAACCCCTCCCCTGGAAGCAGCTCTGAGGGGAACAGTCACATGTAGAGAGTGCAGGGCACTGTGTCCAGCCGGGGGAAGGAGGTCACCAAGGGGGTTGACCCCCCTCTGGCCAGGTGGCTACCTTCTGACACACCAGCCTCTGTCTCTAGCACGGTGGCCCCCACACACCCAGCCTGTGAAACCTACAGCCCTCAAGAAGGCTTTGGCCAAATTAATGAGCGGCTCCCTCTCCCAGGAGGAAGCACGGGTGAAGGATGTGGAGGGCAGTAGAGTTGTGTGTGCTCCGCCCCCTTTCTCCACAGTCGGATGGAAAGAAGGGGGCTTTCAGCCAGGCTCGCCCAGCCTGGGGTCTGAGTGTCACTGTCCAGCTATTGGCTTCTTGCTTAATGGGTGAGCCCAGCTGCTCCCGTGCAGCTGCCGCCCTAGTGAGGGTGAACCGGCAGGCGAGTTACATTTCTGAAAGCCTGGGAATACAGTAAATATTAGGCTGTGGGCTGCTGGGCCAGGAAGAGTTGTTTATTTTTCAGGGTTTGTTTATCTATTGACTTGATGAGGGAGGGTTATAGGTACAACCAGTTTAAAGATGGAAATTTTGAGAGAGCAGGCAGGGATTTAGTGCTGGGTAAGCCTGGTCAAAGCGGCTCTTTTGGGGCGGCCAGAATCCAGTACCAATGTCCTCAGCATGTTCATCAGCTGCTGGGGGAGTGCGGGACAGCATGAAAGCACAGGAGAACTTTCTGGATGATAGAAATACTCTGTATCTTCAAAGGAGGTGGGTTCCATAGTAATGTTAAATGAGTTAAAACTCATCAAAATGTAAACCAGACCTGTGCATTTCACTAATAGAAATTATACCTCCAATTAAAAACATGTTTTAAAAGACAGATGGGCCGGATGCAGTGGCTCATACTTGTAATCCCAGCACTTTGGGAGGCTGAGGCAGGTAGATCACCTGAGTCAGGAGCTCGAGACCAGCCTGGAAAACATGGTGAAATCCTGCCTCTATTAAAGGTATAAAAAAAAATTAGCCAGGCATGGTGGCACACGCTACTCGGGAAGCTGAGGCAGGAGAATTGCTTGAACCCAGGAGGCAGAGGTTACAGTGAGCAGAGATCGTGCCATTGCACTAGAGCCTGGGCAACAGCGCAAGACTCCATCTCAACAACAACAAAAAAAGGACAGATGAAGGTTTTCAACTTTCAATAAAGGCAGAGGAGCTTGTTACAGATTCGCCTCCCCACAAGAGCAGTTAGAAAAACTGGATAAAAATGTGCCCCGCCCCCAATCAAAAACAATTGTTGGAAGGTAATTGGAGACCTCAGTCAGGACTTGAGTGACCAGGCCTAGGAGGTGATCCTGACAGTCTGTAGTGCTTTCCCACATTTGGTGATTGGTCAACAGTAGAGGGCTAAGAGGCTAAGAAACTGAGTATGAAGTGGTAGTTAAGAGGCTGGAGAGCCTAGCTGAATGTTTGGCACTCTCACAGGGCTGAAATGACCTAATGAGAATTTGGGTCCCAGGAGGGAGATGGGACCTTGGTGGGGACCCTGGAAGGGCCACCCCTGGGAGTCCAAATGAATAAAACATAGACCAGCCATCAGAAAACCTAAAACCTGCTTTGAACCAGCTTAGTCCCGAAGTAGATGAAGGCGATCTGCCCTTACTCCAATTGTGTGCCATAAACTCAAAGTCAATACTCTCTGGAGGCAGATAAAAGTTTACTATGAATGCCAAAAGACAACACAAGACTAAATGAGAAAGACCAAGAAGAAAACTAATAGAAACATACATGTAAGGAAGAAACTTTTTTTTTTGAGACGGAGTTTCGCTCTGTCACCCAGGCTTGAGTGCAGTGGCACGATCTCAGCTCACTGCAACCTCTGCCTCCCAGGTTCAAGCGATTCTCCTGCCTCAGCCTCCCAAGTAGCTGGGATTACAGGCATGCGCCACCATGCCCGGCTAATTTTTGTATTGGCCAGGCTGGTCTTGAACTCTTGACCTCAGGTCATCCATTTACCTCGGCCTCCCAAATTGCTAGGATTACAGGCGTGAGCTACCATGCCTGGCCAGTATTTTGCCACAATTTAAAATAAATAAAATTTTTTTTTCAGGTTTGTGCTCAGACTATATTCTAAACAGTCACATGGCGGCTTACTCTTCTCCAGGCCTTGCTGCCGGCTTTTACATGTTTATTGTCTTTGCCTTCTTGTCATGTGCTCATTAGATGGCAGCTTCCAGGTGCTCCTAAGGGGCCAGGAAAGAGAGTGAGAAGGCACGGAGGTTGCCAGATCATCCCCCTTGGGGCCCCGCCCTCATCAACTCCCTCAACCGGGTCTCCTGCAACTATCGGTGGGCCATCTCGGCCACCGCTTCGCCCTGAGCTTCCTGCTGCTGCAGCTGGGCAGTGCCTCCTTCTCAGAGGCCAGCTGCTGATAGGCGGCCACGTACTGCTGCAGGTGACCCAGGTAATGGTCTCGCTGCTGCTGCAGACTCAGCCTCTTGGCTCTTCAGCTCCACCTGCAGGATAGGCGTCAGGGTAGGTAGTGGCTGGCTTCCAGATTCTGGGCCCATAAACAGGGTAGTGAGGGCACTGCGGGGCTCTGTCGCCTACCCAGGCCCCTGGCCCTGGCCCCTTCCTCCAGGCCTAAATGACTGCCTCCCTTGCCTAGAGGCCCATGCCTCCCTCCCCAGCCTCAAATCTCACACCCTTCTTCCCACCATTTAAACTGTAGGCCACAGACTGGTGGAAAAGCAGAGGGAGCCAACCACCATCTGCTAAGTTGTGGTGAGGTCGTTCTGTATGATCTCCAGGGTTTGCACACACCTCCGCCTGCTCCCCCCAAGAGCTCGGCCTTCTGCCCCAGCTTCCCCAGCCTCTCCTCCAGCTCCTGCAGCCTCACCTAGTGTTCCTGCATCTTCTCCTCCTGCTGCCGCAGCCTCACTTCCTGCTCCCGCATCTTCTCCTCCTGCCTCCGCATCTTCTCCTCCTGTTCTTGCATCTTCTCTTCCTGCTCACACATCTTCTCCTCCTGCTCCCACATCTTCTCTTCCTGTTCCTGCATCATCTCCTCCTGCTCTCGTATCTTCTCCTCCTGCTCCCGTATCTTCTTCTCCTGCTCCCTTATCTTCTCCTCCTGCCTCCGCATCTTCTCCTCCTGTTCTTGCATCTTCGCTTCCTGCTCACACATCTTCCCCTCCTGCTCCCCCATCTTCTCTTCCTGTTCCTGCATCATCTCCTCCTGCTCTCGTATCTTCTCCTCCTGCTCCCGTATCTTCTTCTCCTGCTCCCTTATCTTCTCCTCCTGCCTCCGCATCTTCTCCTCCTGTTCTTGCATCTCCTCTTCCTGCTCCCACATCTTCTCCTCCTGCTCCCCCATCTTCTCTTCCTGTTCCTGCATCATCTCCTCCTGCTCTCGTATCTTCTCCTCCTGCTCCCATATCTTCTCCTCCTGCTCCCGTATCTTCTCCTTCTGCTCCCGTATCTTCTCCTCCTGCTCCCTTATCTTCTCCTCCTGCCTCCGCATCTTCTCCTGTTCTTGCATCTTCTCTTCCTGCTCCCCCATCTTCTCTTCCTGTTCCTGCATCATCTCCTCCTGCTCTCGTATCTTCTCCTCCTGCTCCCGTATCTTCTCCTGCTCCCGTATCTTCTCCTCCTGCTCCCTTATCTTCTCCTCCTGCTTCCACATCTTCTCCTCCTGCTCCTGCCTCTTTTCCTCCTGCTCCCGTATCTTCTCCTCCTGCCTCCACACCTTCTCCTCCTGCTCCCGTATCTTCTCCTCCTGCCTCCACATCTTATCCTCCTGCTCCTGCCTCTTCTCCTCCTCCCATATCTTCTCCTGCTCATGCATCTTCTCTTCCTCCCTCCACATCTCCTCCTGCTCCCGTATCTTCTCCTCCTGCCTCCACATCTTCTCCTCCTGCTCCCGTATCTTCTCCTCCTGCCTCCACACCTTCTCCTCCTGCTCCCGTATCTTCTCCTCCTGGTCGTGCATCTTCTCCTCCTGCCTCCACACCTTCTCCTCCTGCTTCCGTATCTTCTCCTCCTGCTCGTGCATCTTCTCCTTTTGCCTCCATATCTCCTCCTGCTCCCTTATCTTCTCCTCCTGCCTCCACATCTCCTCCTGCTCCTGCCTCTTCTCCTCCTCCCGTATCTTCTCCTGCTCGTGAATCTTCTCCTCCTGCCTCCACATCTTTTTCTCCTGCTCCCGTATCTTCTCTTCCTGCTCCCGTATCTTCTCCTCCTGCCTCCACATCTTCGCCTCCTGCTCCTGCCTCTTCTCCTGCTCGCGTATCTTCTCCTCCTCCTGCCTCTTCTCTTCCTGCTCCCGTATCTTCTCCTGCTCGTGCATCTTCTCTTCCAGCTCCCGTATCTTCTCCTCCTTCTCCCACATCATCTCCTCCTGCCTCCGCATCTTCTCCTCCTTCTCCCACATCATCTCCTCCTGCCTCCGCATCTTCTCCTCCTGCTCCCGTATCTTCTCCTCCTGCTCCTGTATCTTCTCCTCCCGCTCCTGTATCTTCTCCTCCTGCCTCCACATCTTCTCCTCCTGTTGCTGGTTCAGGCGGTTCCACAACTCGTTCTCTTCCACCTGGGCTTGGAGCTTTGCTGACACACTCTGCAGCTCCTTACCCAGGTGGTCAGCCTCCGCCTGCAGCTGCTGCTGGAATAGTGAAAGTGTTTTTTTGAACCTCAGAAGGAAGCAGAATCATGAGCTAGCCACATAAATGTAATCTATAGGCTGGGCGCGGTGGCTCACGCCTGTAATCCCAGCACTTTGGGAGGCCGAGGTGGGCGGATCACGAGGTCAGGAGATCGAGACCATCCTGGTTAACACAGTGAAACCCCGTCTCTACTAAAAATACAAAAAATTAGCTGGGTGTGGTGGTGGGCACCTGTAGTCCCAGCTACTTGGGAGGCTGAGGCAGGAGAATGGCGTGAAGCCGGGGGGTGGAGCTTGCAGTGAGCCGAGATTGCGCCACTGCACTCTGGCCTGGGTGACAGAGTGAGACTACTTCTCAAATAAATAAATAAATAAATAAATAAATAAATAAATAAATGTAATCTGTAAAATAATGGTTTTCATCCATGATCCTTTAAAAAAATATTTTTAAGCCCTAACTCTTGAGATTCTGATTCCCCAGGCAGGGCCCCAATTTGTACATTTTTAGTACACTCTAGAGGATTCTATGGCGGGGCCAGAACAAGGACCCAAATTTTCCAGCTCTTGGCTGGAGCCTCCCCATACCCTGCATGATCCCTAGACCATGGTCCCAGCTGGATGGGTCTCCCACAACCCCCGGGGCTGCAGCTGCTCACCTGTGGCAGCAGGAGCTTGGCCCTCTCCAGTTTCCTTTTTAGCTCCTTTACGTTGAGCTGGATCTCAGACTTTTCAGATTCTACAAGTTGAAGTTTTTCTTGTAGTTTGGCATTTTTCTCCTTCAGCTCCTCATCAGTTATGCTATGGCCAGAGGCAGTAGAGAAAGGAATGAATGAAGAACATAAAAGACCACTTTGGTGATTGACCCCCTACCCTCGCCCCACAACCACAGAACCGTGGCGCTGGAAGGGACCCCAGGAATTAAAAGTCCCAGGTGGCAGGCCAGAGAGAAGACATGAGTTGCCTGAGGCTACCCCATGAGTCAGTGGCACAGCCAGCACTAGAGCTTCCGTGTGCACACATGAAAACATGTATGAGCCTCTCCCCACACTCACCTGGACCCCCCACCTCCCAGCACACCACCCATGCTAAGGGCCCCCAGACCTCCCATTCCACCTTCCCCCATCCTACGTGTTCCTGTACAGTTCCAGACTCAGGGCGTCCCTCTCCTTTGTTAACTCCTCAATGTACTGCAAATAGAGAAAGGTTAAGTCAGGATAGAGCAGGCACAGCAGTAGCTGGACGACCAGGAACAACTGCTACAGTGACTACTCCACAGTAACACTTCCTCACTCTCAATCACACCTGACGTGTTCTCAAGGCATTTCCAAGCCCATGGTCTCATTTGTTTTTCTTTCTTTCTTTCTTTCTTTTTTTTTTTTTTTTGGCAGAGTTTCATTCTTGTTGCCCTCACTGGAGTGCAATGGCACAATCTCAGCTCACCACAACCTACACCTCCGGGGTTCAAGCAATTCTCCTGCCTCAGCTTCCCGAGTAGTTGGGATTACAGGCATGTGCCACCACACCGGGCTAATTTTGTATTTTTAGTAGAGACGGGGTTTCTTCGTGTTGGTCAGTCTAGTCTTGAACTCCTGACCGCGGGTGATCCGCCCACCTCAGCCTCCCAAAGTGCTGGCATTACAGGCGTGAGCGAGAGCACCTGGCCCTCATTTGTTTTTCAAAGAACTCAGTGGATGTGGAAGGGACAGGGAAAGAGATTGAATTTAGGGCTGGCTAACAGGGGCCCAGAGCGATCAGATAATATTGTTATTGTTATTACTGTTATTACTACCACTGTTGGAGCCTTTATTGGGTGCTTCACCAGGCACTATGCTAACAATCCCATTTAATCCTCACAACCTCCATAGGAGACGGTTACCATTATTACCTCTATTGTGTAGATGAAAAACATGCGGTATTAAAGGTTAAGTGCTGCCTAAGATCACTTGGAGCTGGCATTTCAACACCCAGGTATATCTGATTCTCTAAGCCCATTCTTCCGCTGGAGGTAGGGGCACAGTTAAGAAGGAGGAAATTAATCCTTTGTTGAATTTTTGAAAGGATGATACGTTCGCATAGTCCAAAACTCAGAAAGTCCAGAAGGGAAATATCTCCCCCCAACACTGTGCCTCTATCCTGAGTTTTTTAATGAATCCTTACAAACGTGTTTTATGTATGTTACCATAATACGTACACACACACACATATACACCTGCCCCCTCTCTCCACACAAATAATAACATACTCAAGATACTCTTCTGTACCTTTATGGTACAAGTACCCTAACCGCCACTTAGGACTTGGCCAAGGCCACAGCCAAGTATGGGCAGGGCGGGCACTTGGCCTCTGAGATCTATGTCCAGTGCTCGCTCCTCACAGTGCTCCCCAACTCACCCACAACAGCCGACTCAGCCCCAGTCTGCCTCTAACAACCACACACAAAAGCAGCAAGAAATGGCCATGCTGCCTTCTGGGCAGGACACTCCATCCTACAGAAGGGACCTTTAGGCTCACTCCTCCATCTGCGAAGCTGGGCTCCCAAGGGACGGGGCCGTGTTTGGACTCACCCTATCCGCCTTCTTCTTCTGTGTAGCGACAGCAGAGAGAGCCTGCTCTAACTCTCCTGCAAACTTCCATGAATCATGCAGGCGGCTGATCAGATCCCTGGCCTCTCCTGGAATGAGAGACATTCAGATGTGGCCCAAAGGACTCCCCCTAAAGGCCTGTCAAAGTGCCAGGTTGAAGGATGATGGGGTGCCAGATTCCCACCTTCCAACTGCTTGACAGCATGCTGGCTGTAGTAAAGTGCCATCTGAAGCTCAGTTTTCTGACATGTAAGGATTCGTATGGTTTGAACCTGGGCCTTTGGGAGAAAAGACAAGCAAATGCTGAAAGAGAAGCAAAGAAACATTCTCCAGAGGGCAGGAGGGAACTTCACACCCTCCACTCACCTCTAGCTCCCTCCTTAGGGCTTCCTGATGTTGGTGGCTTGCCTTCTGTTCCTATAGAAAGAGGAAAACAGAGCTCTTGCTAGGGGGAGGCAGAGATGGCACAGCAAGAGACATGCCCCCAGAATGGCACCACTGCCCCAGAACAGGCCCACCCATGGGACCAGTTTATCAGGGACCCTGTGGGGATGGGGTGGAATCTTGGGGGTGAGCCTTCTTCCCCAGGCTGGGAGTGGGTGAGATGAGCCTGGGGCCTCTACATCTGAGTGCCCCCAAACCCAGCGGTCATGTCGTGAGCAAAGAAATCACACGACTTCTTCCAGCTGAGCTCGGTTCTATTGTTTCTGTGGGGAGAGTCAAAGGAAGGTGACTGAGGGTGGCCCCCTTGACTCTATTCCCCAGGCCAGGAAGCGATAGGCAGGGGCCAGGAATGGATTTAAAAGGCACAGTTCTCAGACCCAATGGGAACATGAACTGGTCAACTCTCCTCAACTCCCAAAGAAGAAGGATTTGGGTCTTTTTGGTTTTTGCCCACAGCCACAGAACTCAAAGTCTGAAACTAGATTCTCTTGAAAAGACAGTAACAGAAACCTTCAGAGGTGGAGTGCGAGAAAAGCCCACCCTTCCGCCAGCTTGTGATTTAGAAAGGTGCATTCACTCAGCAAACGTTGAGCACATACGGGCCAGGGACGGTTCTTCACAGCGGGAATAGAGGTCAGAAAAGGCAGACAGGAGCCCTTGGCCCCGAGGTTTCCATTCTAGTGGGCCTTTAACTCTCGGGCTCTCAGAGCTAACAGAAACCTCTGATACTCTCTAACTCTACCTCAGGAAACGCAAGCCCAAGAAGGAGAGTTTACAGCAGGTCCTGGACGAGGGATTAACATAAAAACACAATGACAAATCTCATTTAAACTTCACAAATGTAAGGAAAACAATACCACTCGTATTTTACGGATGTGAAAAGAGAGGCCCAAAGAGCTCAAGCAATTTGCGCTAAATCATATCCCTAGCAGATGGAGGGGTAGGATTCAAACCCAGAATTCTTAGCCAGTACCTGGCAGTTCTTCCACAATCTTAACAATTACCCTCCACCACCCCTTGGGCCCTCTGTCCCCAGGAGCCCGGCCAGCCAAGACTCACATCCTCAGGCGAGTGGCAACCACCAGAAGTGGTTGTCTCAGGGTTAGTGCCATTATTTATTTTCTTCTTTTTGGTGTCGCTTGCTGCTGTACCAACACTAGGGTTGGTCTGGGGATGATGGTCTGTCAACTGTGGAAAGGAAGAGCAGTGATACTCATGAGAACTACAAGCTCCTACAGTCACATCCTGCTTTACAGTTTATACTAAATACTCTTATAGACCATCTGATTTAATGCCACCAACTGTAGGAAATGTTGTCACAATCACTTAGTGACTGAGAGAGATTGATACCATGGCTGAAAAAAAAGGCAGTAATGGAACTTAAACTCAGTCTTCTGACTCTGAGCTCTGGGATTTTGCCCTAAATCAGCAGCTGCCAGGGACCAAAACCAGAGGCAGAGGTAGAAAAGCAAATATTAAGTAGGCAGGAACTGTGCACTATGTGGTTTAGGGTTATTCACCCTCACACGTCTGTTAGTGTTAAAAAGTACACCAGTACCTCTCAAACCTTTACATCAATGTCTCCTCATGGCAGAAGGCAGCCTTTCTGCTAAATCTGGGAATTTAACAGAAAGAGGACAACCCAAGCCTCATTTCAGAGAGAAGTCTTGTATACGCTTATAAATCTATGTGACTTTCATCCCTAAGTACATTAATGTTTTGTCTCTCAATAGAATCAAGGGAAACTGATGCTTCAGAAAGATGCCCCATATTTATCCTGTGGCACTCAAAGTACCCCAGGTTGAGATGAGATGAGGAAGACTCAAGCTAAGTTCAGTTTCCCAAGATCTGTTCCACAGAAGATAAGCAGATCTCACTCCAGAACCAGTGACTGAGGGGCACTCTGGTCCCAGAACAATGGAGAATTCAAATCTGAGGTGCAGAACTGAGAAAAAATGTTAAAATCTCTCTGGAGAGTAGAAGCCTGGGAGAAAACCAAACCAAACCCGTTCTCCCATTGCCACCCAGAGACACTGTCAACGTGTTGAGCTCCTGGGGGAGGTGTAGGCTTTTCACACTGTCAAGGTCTGTGGTAAGGAAGTCAGGCAGCCTGAAACCTCTCTCTTCTAGGTCCCACAGTCCCCATTCCCCTTCCAGCTGGAAACCTGTGCTGCAACCAGAGGAAACAGAAGTGGGCAAGAACACTTAGGGGACTGGGTCCTAAGACCAAAGGCCGGTCTTGTGGTAGTAATGACAGTTTGTAGCGGGACTGTGACATCACTACATTCTACTCCTCGGTGGAGTGGTTGGGGGGGACACATGAGTGCAATGCCCAAGTTGCCGCTTTGAGACTGGGGAGGGGGTCACAAAATTGGGAGCCAGGTCCTTGGAGACGTGACCCCAAAGAGCCCCGGGAGGTCAGGCTTGGGGCGGCAGGAGGTGAGGGCCAATTAAGGAGCAAGGAGCTCCAGGAGTCACATCCCCAAAGTCACCCTGTGGCAACTGGTGAGGGCAGGTTCTGGGGCACCCAGGTCCTTGGAGCTGTGAGCTCAAGGAGCCCAGGGAGGTCGGGTTTGGGGTAGCAGGAGGTAAGGGCGGAGTATGGAGTTGGAAGCCCCAGGAGTCACCTGCTCAAAGTCACCCTGGTGTGCCGGGCAGAGCAGGGGCAGGACTTATGAGGGGGTTGGGCTGGCTGACAAGATTTTGGTGTGGGGAGCCCAGAGGCACTGGGGTGGGGGGCCCAGCCTGGTGTCCCTCAGGAGTGGCACAGACTCTGGCAGCAGTTCGGCTGTCAGAGGGGGCCTCGGGTTGGGTTGGGGTGTTGGTGCGTTTACCTGTTCCTTGGCCTCGGCCAATTTGCTCTGTCTGGTTTCTTTGGACATCATAGGATGGGTAGGGAGGTGGGGATGGGTAGGGAGGTGGGGATGGGTAGGGAGGTGGGGATGGGTAGGGAGGTGGGGTTGGGGCCACATCAGCATGATCCAGGTGAGGACAAGTATATACCTCCAGTCACCTCTACGTCGCTGTGTGACTGAGCCAGAGGAGGCGTAACCAGGGCTGCACTAGAATGCAGAATAGGGGTGTGGCCTTCATGCTTGAAGCCCATTGGTCAATGAGAAAGATGAAAGGAAAAGGAGGTGTGGCCAGACAGCAGCGTGTCATCAAGGACCTGTGTTGTCACAAGGAAAGCTGCCTATGCAACCGCTGTCCCCGCCCACTCCAGGAGAGGGGCGGGGCTGGCTTTCACTTTAAAAACTTTAAAACTTTATTACCTCAATTGAGGTACAAGTCCTATTAAAATGGAAATTTTATAGTGTGCTTGATGATTGATAAAGCAGACTTTATTATCCAACATTCCAATAAGATAATCACAATGTTTTCTCTTTTTTGGAAAAACTTTCTCTTATTCTCCTACATTAGCGTTTAGTTTTTTTTAAAAAAACAAACAAACAAGAAACATGTCTAATATCTTTAAAAATACAAAGCTTTGAGCCAGGCATGATGGCTCATGCCTGTAATCCCAGCACTTTGGGAGGCTGGGGCGGGTGGATCACCCGAATTCAGGAGTTCAAGACCAGCCTGGCCAACATGATGAAATCCTGTCTCTACTAAAAATACAAAAGTAGCTGGGCATGGTGGCAGGTGCCTGTAATCCTAGCTACTTGGGAGGCTGAGGCAGGAGAATCCCTTGAACCTGTGAGGCAGAGGTTGCAGTGAGCCAAAATCATGCCACTGCACTTCAGCCTGGGCTGCTACAGAATGTGACTCTGTCTCTAAATACACACACACACACACACACGCACAGACACACACACACACACACACACACAAGGCTTTCCATTTAATAAGCACTCAAAGTTCTTTACAAGGTTAAAGCAAATACAGGACCCTTCTAAAGTAAGGCTAAATGCTAAGTGATGGGGGAGAGAAAAAGGACATAAATAACTCCTACTCTCATGAGTTAATCACTAAATCCGATTTTTCTAGAATCACCTGGCCTCTAAGCCCTGAAAATGAAACTGAATTTCTCACTCGATACTTGGCTATGACTTGCAATCATAAAAACCAAGAATTGTGTTATGTCACTGTGTATTGCTTGTTACCTGGGATCAAGGGTTGACTTTTTCATGATTTGCTCCATTACCTGTGTGCTTCTTCTCCCAGTCCAAACTACGCTTTTTTCTAGAGATCTACAATTTACAGTTAGTATGTAAGGGTGGCTCTCAAACATGTAGTCTCCGGACCAGGAGCACCTGGGAACTTCTTATAAATGTAAATTCTCAGGCCCCACCCTAGACATGAATGAATCAGAAACTCTGCAGTAGGGCCCAGCAATCCGTGCTGCAATAATCCCTCCAGGTGCTCAGGAACCTCTGCCATACAGCAGGTAGAAAAATGTGTTTCCTTCTGTAGGGCCACAGCCAGGGATACTATACGTTCTGTCTCAATATGAAACAATGACATGCAATTAAAAGACATAAATCTCCTTCCTACTTCCACCCTCCAGCCAGTGTGTTTTATTTTTATGAGTTCAATAAGAAAACGTGTGGCAATCAGAGATTTCATCTAAAAAATATATCTACAGGTATCAGTTCTCATCCAGCCTGATCTCATCCAATATCATTTCTATCCTCTTACATCTAAAGTTTTAGAAAAGGATTTTCACAACGTAAGACTCAGGCGCACTAGGAGTTCTATGATAAAAGACCAAGTAGATCTGAATGTCCAAACTTACTAGAGAAGAAAAGTGGACTCATTGGCTATATTTTCAAATTGCATTCAACAGGAAATTAAAGGTTTGAATTTTTTCCACCTTCATCCTTCCAAGTTAATAGAATTAAACCAGAATACTCCATTCTTCCAAAGCCTGTAGCCAGGCAAACTTTTACTGTATTACTTCTTGCTTTTCAATGGATATAAAGCAGAGTCCTGGTAGGCACATTTTGTATACCTGCAAAGATGCAAAACTAAACAGTTCCCTCGGTTCAATATTAAAACAAAAGTCCTGTAAACCTCAGATGGTGAGTGTAATACTTCAGCACTAGCACGAAAGCCTCAAATATAAAAAGATACCAAGAACCTTGCTAGCAAACCAAAGTAAGCTCTTGGCCGGGAGCAGTAGTTCACGCCCGTACTCCCAGCATATTGGCAAGCTAAGGTGGGGTAAGTCAGGAGTTAAAGACCAGCCTGGGCAGCATAGCGAATTCATATCTCTACAAAGAAAATTTAAAAATTAGCTGGGCTTGGCGGCACACACCTGTAGTCCTAGAGCTACTTGGGAGGCTGAGGTGGGAAAATCACTTGAGCCCAGAAGTTTGAGGCTGCAGTAGCTATGATCATGCCACTGCACTCCAGTTGGGGTGACAGAGCGAGATCTAATTATTACATTCTCTCCTGCTCCTGTTTCCACTAAAATCACTAACTTAAAATGTGTTCATTCAGCAGGATAAAAATTAAGTGAAATTTGACTTTGGTGCTTTGCTAGCAAAAAATAAATAAAGTGAAATGACAAATTACTTACTGGGAGAAGATCTTTGTAACCTCAATGACAGATTAAAGGTTTGTATCCTTAGCCTATAAAGAAATCTTTAAAATTACTCAGAAAAAAAAATGAATGATTTGCAGCAGAAAATGGGCAATGGAGAAACCAGCACTTCCCACAAGAATAAAAATGGCCAATGAGCAAATGAAAAAGATTCAAAAGCACTAGAAATCAAAGAAAGGTAATGAAAACAATGAGATTTTCTGCTTAAAGACCAGCGAAGACGACAAATGGAAGGGGGAACCTGGAGCTCTGTCCCTGTTGGTGGGAGCATAAACTCAACCAATTTTCCTATAGGATGATTTGAACATTTCTTTTAAAAATCCTAAAACGGTTTTATATTATTTTCTTCTAGAAATTCTACTTCTATGAATTCAGTGCAAAAATCCTCACTCGAGTCCATTAAAATATATATAGAAGGAAATCCACCTCTGGGGTGGCAATGATTCACTTAACATACATCCAGCTGTTGAAAGTGATGATGCCAGGGTATATTTCTCCATAGAAACATGCTTAAAATATAGTAAGTGACAAAAGACCATGTATTGTGATTCTACTTTTTAAAATGTTTACAGCATAAAAAGTGTGAAAAGCAACAAACCGGAATGTTTTGAGTGGCAAAATTAAAGATTTTTCTTTACATTTTGTCATCCAAATTATTACAAAAACAATGTGATTTCCTTTATAATCATGGAAAAGTGTTATTTTCATTTATTTATATTTACATTTCTTTTCTTTTTCTTCTTTTTTCTCCTGTATGTATCCCACATAGGCTACAGAGCTTAAATCCCTGCCTCTTGAGAGAAATCAGCCCATTTTCAGGACATGCAATACACAAAGCTGCCCCATCTTCCCTTTATTTTTATTTTTATCTTATTTATTTATTTATTTATTTATGTTGAGATGGAGTCTCACTCTGTTGCCCAGGCTGGAGTGCGGTGGTGCATCTCAGCTCACTGCAACCTCCATATCCCGAGATCAAGCGATTCCCCTGCCTCAGCTTCCCGAGTACCTGGGACTATAGGCATGCACCACCATGCCCAGCTAATTTTTGTATTTTTAGTAGAGAGGAAGTTTTACCATCTTGGACAGGCTGGTCTCGAACTCCTGACCTCAAGTGATCCGTCTGCCTTGGCCTCCCAAAGTGCTGGGATTACAGGCATGAGCCACTGTGCCTGGCCTGTCATATTATTTCTAACATTTGAGGGACATTTCAATTAAGTGAAATTTAATTCTTACTGACCTGATCTCTTATCCTCTGTTTAATGATACCTTCCAGTTGAAAGGTGTTTCCTCTGTAATCACGGGTGCCAAAGGAAATACAACATGTATTCATTAGGTGGATATCCACTAAACCACGGATTCATGCATTGTAGTCCTTAGACCCTCAGCATCAGAAACACGTGGGAACTTGTTAGACATGCAAATTCCTGGGCCAGCCCCACACCTCCTGAATCAGAAAGTGGGGAAGGACAGCTATCTGTGCTTTAATAAGCCTTGAGATGCTCCCTGAAGTTTGAAAACTACAGAACTAGAATACATATGGTAGTAAGTGCTCATACTTTATCCAAGGTACTAGGGACTCTTCCCCTCTTTTCCATTCTCTTTTCTGTTGAAATAAAATGAGAGCTCCTTTTGACTTAATGGGTATAAGAAAGAAGGCAATGAGATGACCAGGGTTTCAAGTTAGAGTTCAAAATTTAATCAGTGGACAGTGACAGGATGCAAGCCTTCTAAACAGATTGCTGCAAGGAAGCTGATTATAATCTATACAGTAGGTATCATTAGTGTATTGATGTTAAATTTTGGGGGTGGATTAATGGTATTGTGATTATATAGGAGAAGTCCTGGTTCCTAGAAGATATCTGCGAAAGTACTTAACAGTGAAATGCTCTGATACTGCCAACTTACTTTGAAATGATTCAGAGGGAAAAAGGGCACATATACAATCTTCCATACGCAGAAGACAGAAAACAAGTGTGACAAAACATTAACTAGTGAATCCAGTTGAATAGCATACAGATGTTCACTGTATGATTTTATCAACTTTTCTGTGTTTGCAAGTTTTCAAAATAAAAGTTGAGGGAAAGAAACATCACCCCAAATCTTTCTATGAAATGGGACCATAGAAAAAGCAGAGAAGTGAACACTTTGCAGAAAAGAGCACTGCACCCATCCGGACAGCATGGTCAAAGTGCAGGCTCTCCTCCAGGAGGCTCTTCTCTGGTCTCTTCTGTGCTGTCACTTCCCCCACATGCAGCCAAGGCTTTTTTCTAACAACTCTTTTTCTAAAGATGTAATTTTTGTCATTCATCTAAGAAAGAGAAGAAAAGAATTAGTATACATTTAGAAAATAAAATTACACTTACATTTGTGAAAAAGCAAAAAATACTTTGAAAAGTGGGGAAGCAAGAAATGTACTGTTCTACAATTCTGTTCTGTTCTTACCATCTTTTTATTCTGCCAATGACTTCCTATTCCTGCTGTGTATGGTGGGGTGAGCTGCAAATGATTTCTTTTCCTCATTGATTTAAAATCTCATGTTTATAATGTGCCAAACTCCCCCAGAAGCATTTGGGTTTATTTCTGGGCTCTATTCTATTCAAGTAATCTATCTGTTCACAAGCCACTATCAGTTTTGATTATTGGAGCATCCTAAAGTTAAGTAATTGTTGTTTTTGTTTTTGAGATGCAGTCTCTCACTCTGCCGCCCAGCTGGACTGCAGTGGCGTGATCTAGGCTCACTGCAAGCTCCACCTCCCGGGTTCATGGCATTCTCCTGCCTCAGCCTCCCGAGTAGCTGGGACTACAGGCACCTGCCACCACGCCTGGCTAATTTTTTGTATGTTTAGTAGAGATGGGGTTTCACCTTGTTAGCCAGGATGGTCTCGATCTCCTGACCTCGTGATCCGCCTGCCTCGGCCTCCCAAAGTGCTGGGATTACAGGCGTGAGCCACCGCGCCTGGCCCTGAATTTGCTTGAGTTTTTAGCTCTCTCACCCATTTCAGGATTGTCACCACCCATATCTGACACGTCCTCCTCCTCCTCTAAATCTTCTAGGTCCTCCTGGCCATCAGCCTCTGTTTCTGAACCAGCCTCTTCATGCTCCTGTTCTTCACTCTCTGGGAGAAGACTGATATCTTCATCTTTCTTTCACTAACCGCATTCTGGAAGCACGGTAAAATTGCTTCATTTTGCAATTCCAGTTGTTGCAAAGTCTGCTCATCATCAAAACTTTCTATCACAAGTTTTTGTAAAGAGCTGCCATGGATTCTACCATTCTCTACTGTTTTATTAAAGTCATAAAGCACTTTTGTTAAAGAAGTGAACTTTGGTTCCAATCCATCTTGAAACCTATTGGGAGGAATTAAATGAGATTTAGAATTATAGATAATAATTTCACAGCCCTCTTAATTAAAAGAAAAATAAAAACCTCAACTCTTCTGTAAAATCAAATTTGAATAAAGTGTAAGTATAGATTCTGGCCCCAACAATATATAAGCTGATGAGCCACAATGATATATAAAACCTGTCAACCAAGTATTTGTGAATCAGCTGTATAGATTGTTGGCAGGAAAAGCATTACAAATCTATTTGCTTGGAGATATATAGTGAATTAGCCTTAAATTATCTACTCTGCTACATTATATACCACTCCATTCATTCATTCCCTTATTCACTCAATGATCAACATTTGCTTTGGCTACAGTGGTCAAGGAAAACCTCTCCTAGATGTGACATCTGAGATGAAACTTACAGACAAGTATAGTCTTATAAAGATTGGGAAACATGTATTCCAGGCGGAAGAAACAGCAAGAACAAATTCTCTAAGATGCAATTGAGCTTGGTAAGCCTGAGGAATAAAAAAGTGAGCATGGCTATAGCGTGAAGGAGGCAGAAGGTGAAGTTGGAGAGACTGATGGGAGCCAAATTCTGCAGGGCTCAAGGGTAAGAGTTTGCCGTTTTAAGTGTAATAAGAAAATGTGAGAAGATTTTAAGCAGAAGGATGAAATGATGATTTATACGAAGGAAGAAGAAAGGGAGGAAGGAGGAGGAGGAAAGTAGAGTGATTAGAAGGTTGATGCAGCATTCCAGGCAAAGGATGATGGTGATTTAAGCTGGAGTTAGAGCAGTGAATATGCTGAGTACAGTTTGGAGGTAGAACTGACAGGATTGCTAAGGAATTAGATACAGAATAGAGAAAAGTGAAGACATCAAAATAGCAGCCTAGTTTTATGTGCGAGCAACTGGAGAGACAGAACTGCCATTTACTGTGATAGGCAAGGCTTGAGTGGTGGAGCAAGGGGAAAGGACTTCAGCGGATGGCAGAGTGTAGGTGGGTAGAAACAACATTCTACTGTATTTTGGACACAGTGAATTTGTGATGCTGAGAGGACCAAAATTTAAAAAATTGTTAAAAGCCGTACGGTGCAGATATCCCAGTTGTGCGCTACTGAATTCCAACTAAGCTCAGTCTGGAGTTGCTTGTGAGCAAGGAACTCAAGGGAGAGGTTGGAGTTTGAAACATAAATGAGTCATAATTTTATAGGTCATATTTGAAGTTCTTCAACAAAATACACATAAAACGTTTGTGTTGGGAAGAGACATGAAAGTTCTAATTCTCAAGAAGCTTAGTGGGGTAGACAGACAAGTGACAAGTTTGTGCTTTCAATAAAGTATGATGGCAGGTAAACACTGAGTGCTTTAGGAGCACAGGCGGAAGGAGAAACCAACACAGTTGTGTGTAGGGGGATGGGGGCCGTAATAAGCCTCAAGGGGAGCTTATAGGCGTGAATAACTGAGGTTAGGTTGATTTCAATAACATTCAACTGAGAGATCCATACTGTAAAAGTTTTAACAATTTTTAAAATTTTGATAGCCTAGGTCCTCTGAAATGTGGGGAAAAGTGATTTACATTTCCCCTTACCTTCCCCCAGCTCCACAATTTGCCAGGGGTCTGCAACCCGTGTCCACGTGCGACCGCAGTCGCACCCGAGCCCGGGATCTGTGCACTTACGTGAGGATGCACTCGGGCCAGCCAGTGGCTTTGCCCACCTCCCTCAGACACCGCTCCGGGGTCCGTCAGCGCCAGGCCCATGGGCCATGGCTGTCTGCAACTCCCGACACAAGCTGCAAGGCAAGAGAGCCGCTGGGAAACCGCACCGCAAGGATGCTGGCATTGGAACAGGAATTAAAAGAAATGAAAAAATGTGTAAGCAAAAACTCAGCTGTATGTAAAAAAAACCCAATTCCCCCTGAGAATGAGAAAGAGCCTTAGTCCTTTAAAAAAACTACCTGTTTTCCTATGGCTAGTGAGCCTTATCGCTCCCTTCCCAGGCATTATCAAAACCCTAATTCCCTAACTGTGCAACTGCAAGGTCACTAAACAAACAAATGCAAGTCACAAAACATATTTTTCCTAAAAACGTAAAAAAAAAAAAAACATAATGCGTGCTTCAATTAAATAACCCTCTGTTTCTCGCTTCTGTAATATGCTTCCCCCTGCACAGATCTACCCGGGCTCCACAAAATGCTAAAAGATAACTCTTTATTCAGCTCAACGCTTTGATCTGCCTGGCGTGGTGGCTCACTCTTGTGATCCCAGGACTTTGGACGGCCAAGTAGGGTGGATCGCTTGTGCCTTGGAGTTCCAGACAGGCCTGGGCAACATGGTGAAACCTGGTCTTTTTGTTTTGTGTTGTTTTGAGACGGAGTTTCGCTCTTGTTGCCCAGGCTGGAATGCAGTGGCTGGGTCTCTGCTTGCCGCGACTTCCGCCTCCCGGGTTTCGGTCGTTGTCCTGCATCAGCCTCCAGAGTGGCTGGGATTGCAGGCATAAGCCACCAAGCCCGGCTAATTTTGTATTTTTTTTTTTATTTTTATTTTGGTACAGATGGGGTTTCTCCCTGTTGGTCAGGCTGGTCTGAAACTCCCGACCTCAGGTGATCCACCTGCCTAGGCCTCCTGAGGTGCTAGGATTGCAGGCTTGAGCCACCGCTCCCGGCCCAATTTGTTAATCAGAAAGGAATAGATCGTCCTGGTGTGGTGGCTCACGCTTGTGATCCCAGTACTTTGGATGGCCCAGCGCGGGGTATCCCTTGAGCCTAGGAGTTCCAGACCTGCCTGGGCAACATGGTGAAACCCGGTCTCTCTCTCTCTCTCTCTCTTTTTTTTTATGAGGTGGAGTTTCGCTCTTGTTGCCCAGGGTGGAGTGCAGTGGCTGGGTCTCCGCTCACAGCGACTTCTGCCTCCAGGGTTTTAGTAGTTCTCCTGCCTCAGTCTCCGGAGTGGCTGGGATTGCAGGCCTGACCAACATTGCTCTGCTAATTTTTTTTTATTTGTTTTTGGTAGAGACGGGGTTTCTCCATGCTGGGCAAGCTGATCTCAAACTCCAGACCTCAGGTTATCCGCCCACCTCGGCCTCCGGGGATGCTGGAATTGCAGGCGTGAGCCAGCGCACACACCCAATTTATTTTTATTTCATTTTTTATTTTTATATATATATACTTTTGAGACGGAGTCTCACTTTGTCACCCAGGCTGGAGTGCAGTGGTGCGCTGTCTCGGCTCACTGCAACCTCTGCCTCCCAGGTTCAAGCGATTCTCCTGCCTCAGCCGCCTGAGTAGCTGAGATTACAGGCGCCCGCTAGCACACCCATCTAATTTTTTTTTTTTTTTTTTGTATTTTTAGTAGAGATGGGTTTTCATCATGTTGGCCAGGCTGGTCTCGAACTCCGGACCTCAGGTAAACCCACCTCGGCCTCCCAAAGTGCTGGGATGACAGGAAGGATCGGCCTGGCGTGGTGGCTCACGCTTTTGATCCCAGGAGTTTGGACGGGCCGAGCGTGGCGGATCCCTTGATCCTAGGAGTTCTAGACCAGCCTGGGCAACATGGTGAAAACCGGTCTCTCTCTCTCTCTTTTTTTTTTTGAGGCGTAGTTTCCCTCTTGTTGCAGGGCTGGAGTGCAGTGGTGCGGTGTCGGCTCCCCGCGGCCTCTGCCTCTGGGTTTGGGTGGTTCTCCTGCCTCAGCCTCCGAGTGACTGGGATTGCAGGCGGGAGCCACCATGCCCGGCTCTTTTTTTTTTTTTTTTTTTTTTTTTTTTCTGGTAGAGACAGGTCTCTCCATGTTGGTCAGGCTGGTCTCAAACTCCCGACCTCAGGTGATCCGCCCACCACGGCCTCCCGGGGTGCTGGGACTGCAGGCGTGAGCCACCGCTCCTGGCCCAATTTATTAATCAGAAAGAAATAGATCGGCCTGGCGTGGTGGCTCACGCTTTTGATCCCAGGACTTTGGACAACCGAGCGTGGGGAATTGCTTGAGCCTAAGAGTTCCAGACCTGCCTGGGCAACATGGTGAAAATCTGTCTCTTATTATTATTATTATTTTTTTTTGAGGCGGAGTTTCCCTCTTGTTGCCCAGGCTGGAGTGCAGTGGCTGGGTCTCCGCTCGCGGCGAATTCTGCATCCCGGGTTTTGGTGGTTCTCCTGCCTCAGCCTCCTGAGTAGCTGGGATTACAGGCACCTGCCGCCACACCCGGCTAATTTTTTTTTTTTGTATTTTTAGTAGAGACGGGTTTTCATCATGTTGGCCAGGCTGGTCTCAAATTCCTGACCTCCGGTGATCCACCCACCTCCGCCTCCCCAAGTGCTGGGATGACAGGCGTGATCGGCCTGGCGTGGTGGCTCACGCTTTTGATTCCAGGACTTTGGACTGGCCAAGCGTGGGGGATTGCTTGAGCCTAGGAGTTCCAGACCGGCCTGGGCAACATGGTTAAACCCAGTCTTTTTTTAAATTCCTTTATTATTATTATTATTATTATTTTTTTTGAGACGGAGTCTCTCTGTTGCCCAGGCTGGAGTGCAGTGGCGCTATCTCGGCTCACTGCAGCCTCTGCCTCCCAGGGTCAAGGGATTCTCCTGCCTCAGCCTCCTGAGTAGCTGGGATTACAGGCGCCCACCACCACACCTGGCTAATTTTTTTTTATTTTTTAGTAGATCGTGGTAACTGCCTTAAAATGATGATTGTTCAGAAAGTCAGTTTAATTTAGATACTAAGGATATTGAGGTTATGTAACATTTGAGCAAGTTCTAAAAAAAAAGAGAAATAGTATATTTAATTGCTAATAAAGTATTGTCAACTCACAAATATATTCACATAGCATACATTTCAAGAGCAGAATAACCATGAATATAAAAGGAATTAGCAAAAACGAGACAAAAAAGACATGAAGAAATAAAAACAGATGGAACAAATAGCACAAAATACGATGAAAGTTATAAAAGAAACTATGCCAACAATCACAATAAATGTAAATAGACTGAATAATTAAGAGAAAATGACTATAAAACAGAATTAGGGCACGCGTGGTGGCTCATGCCTGTAATCCCAGCACTTTGGGAGGATGAGGCAGGCGGAGGGATCACAAGGTCAGGAGTTCGAGAGCAGCCTGACCAACATGGTGAAACCCCATCTCTGCTAATACAAAAATTAGCCGGCGTGGTGGTGAACATCTGTAATCCCAGTTACTCAGGAGGCTGAGGCAGGAGAATCGCTTGAATCCAGGAGGCAGAGGTTGCAGTGCCGAGATCACACCATTACACTCCAGCCTGGGCAACAGAGCAAGACTCCGTATCAAAAAAAAAAAACACACAAAAAAAACACAAAAAACAGAAAATAAACAGTATGAAAAGACATCTAAAACATAAAGTCACAGAAAGACTGAGAGAGATTGAAAAAAGATACACATGTCATATGTACCTAACCCAAAGAAGGGTTGGAAGCTATATTATTATCAGATAAAATAGGCTTTGGGCAAAAAGCAATATGGGAGATTTTTTAAGGTCACAATATGATGATAAAAATTCTAATAAACCAAGGGAGAAGGTAATCTAAAATGTTAATGTATCTAATAACTAGCACTCAAAATACATGAAAGCAAAATATGACAAAATTGCAACCCTCAGAGGGCAATTTAAATACATATCTCAGTATCTGATAAAAGAGACAAAAAACAATCAGCATAGACATAGAAGATTTACATCTCTCTAGAAAATTAACAAGCTTGACCTAATGTAGAGAAAAAACATATCTCTCCAAAGTGACAGCATTCACCCCCCCCAAGTACATATGTACTGAGCCATAAGGAAAATCTCAACAAATTCCAAAGAAGCGGAATCATGCATCCATCTTTCTCTCTAACCATAATCTCATTAAACTAAAAACAATAATAAAAAGATAAAGTAAAAAGCCAGAAAGGCAGATGCTAAATGAGAAAGTGACAGAAAAGTTACAGATTTTGTTAAGCATACAAAGCTTCTATAGGGTAAAGCAGTCAAAGGGATATGCAAATTTACACAGAAATCCAACCGATATAAATCCTTGAAAGATACTACATACAGATATTTCATCAGTTCTCACATGCCAAACCCAGCAAAGCCAAACTTTGGAGCCTCCCCTGCGAGCAGACCTGCCACAGGAGGAGAGGCAGCACAAACCTCCCTTTGCAGTGAAAATGCCACATTGTGTGTGCTTCTTACCCCATCACCTCTTTGGAAGTGGCCCCACTCAGTGCTAGCTGAGAATCGCTTCCCTCATACCACTCTCAGTAGTTCACCCCAAGACACACTGGACAACTCTGTACCTGGTAAGTCATTGTGAATCCAATTAATAATGGCATTCAGAAAGTTAGGAATCTTTGAATTATTAGATTCATAGTGATATTCAAAAGAAAGAAAACGACATCATTTCTGTTCCACGCATGTTGCCCACATTCACTGCGTAAAAGGCAAAGGGAACTGTGAGTACCCACAAAGAACCTGATATTGACGGCACATACATTTCTTCATTAGGAAGAATAAATTTAGACTGTAACAATTTAAAAAACCAGAAAATACAACTGTACATTTTAGCTCTTATTAAAATCCAAGAGGTTTAACTTATTTGCTCCTTGTTTAGGTAATTAGTGTCTAAAACATTTCAAAGATAACATATATAGTGGCTACGATTTCTAGTACTTTTTAAAAATTCAAGCCCAGTCTCTTCTAATTAAATGTATAAATGATTTATCTCTGTCTTTCTTAAAAAGAACCAAGAGCCCCAATTAAAAAGTAAAACTTAAATTTCCTCTTAAAAAATTGTTACGTCAAAATTATCGAATAAACCATAGTTCAGAAAATAATTTCTGAATTAAGAAAATATGAATAATAAAACCAACAGTTCATGTGCTGAATTTCAAATTTTTATTTTTTATTATTTTTAAAATTTTGTTTTAAGTTCTAGGGTACATGTGCAGGAGTGTTACGTAGGGAAACGTGTGCCATGGTGGTTTGGTCCACCTATCAACTCATCACCTCAGTGTTAAGCCCAGCACGCATTAGCTATTTTTCCTGATGCTCCTCCCCCACCCGCCCTGACAGGCCCCAGTATGTGTTGTTTCCCTTCCTGTGTCCATGTGTTCTCACTGAACCTCACATTTTTAAATACAGCATATGCCAGGTGTCATTTCAGTACCCATGATTATACATAGTATAATTATACATAGTATATGTATATGTGTAAATATATGTATATGTGTACATATATGTATGTAATATGTGTATGTAAATATTATGTAAATATGTATGTATGTAAGTATATATGTAAATATGTATGTGAATGTATGTAAATATATACACATGTAAATATGTATGGAAAAATATGTATGTAAATATATGTATGTAAATATATGTATATATATAAATGTAAAATATGTAAATATTTGTAAATGTAAAATATGTAAATGTAAAATAAATGTAGAATGTCAAATGTAAATGTAAAATGTAAAATAAATGTAAAATGTAAAATAAATGTAAAATGTAAAATAAATGTAAAATGTAAATGTAAAATATGTAAATATATGTATATGTGTAAATATATGTGTGTAAATATATATGTATATGTGTAATATATATGTATATGTGTAAATATATATGTATATATAACACAGCATACAGCATATGCCAGGTGTCATTTCAGTACCCATAATTATACATAGTATAATTAGACTACTATGTTAGCTAAAAAATGTTGATTAGATACAAATGTATAAATTTATCTTCTCTAAAAGTGGAAATTCTCTAGAGGCTATTTCCAGCTTCTGTGTGGATTGTAGAGCAGGCTGCTACCTGTACCCCAAAAATGAACACCTTAAAAAAAAGACAAGTTTCTCAGCCTCCCTATTGCACACACATATGAAAAATATGTTAAATTCAACGCCAAATATTCCTGAGATCAACACAGCAGTGATCCCAAAGAGAAAATTTCTCTTTGCTAATGGGCACAAACTTGAAGGGCAAAGCAGTGGAAGGGTAAGTCTGCAGACTCGGGTGGGGCTCAAGTCAGAATCACGTGGAAGATCATTGCCACATGTTTTTGTTTTTTTAAATAGCAAACACCACCAAGTGGAGCCCGCCGGGTTTAGTAGATATTAAACCTCTAAGGAGTGGCACATCCGAGACTGAAATTCCCATCTTTTGATTCCCAGCTCAAGGTCTCTGAAATGCCAGCACCAGCTGTGAAATTGTTCTTCTGCATTTTCATGGAGACCTTTTCTTCTATACTGCCATACTCTTTTTTTTGGAACAGTTATACCTGATCTTCCTATTTTTGTGTGTGTTCCACCGAAAGTTTTTCACTCTAAATACTTCCCTCTTTCCAACTGAGCATTTACATCTGTAACAAGGACAAAAACATCTAACATCTCTCTCACCCTTGGTTTGTGTTTTGTTTTGTTTGTTTTTGAGACAGGGTCTTGCTCTGTCACCCAGGCTGGAGTGCAGTGGCGTGATCACCGTTCACTGCAGCCTCGAGCTCCTGAGCTGAAGCAATTTTCCCACCTCAACCTCTGAGTAGCTGAGACTATAGGTGTGTGCCACCACGCCTGGCTAATATTTGTATTTTTTGTAGAGATGAGTTTTTGCCATGTTGCCCAGGCTGGTATTGAACTCCTGGCTTAAGTGATCCTCCTGCCTAGGCTTCCCAAAGTGCTGGAAGGAATTACAGGTATGAGCCACCGTGCCTGGCCTCACCATTGTTAAAATTATGGAAATCGTGTTTGCAAAGCAGCTTGGCCTGTTTGGAAAAGGGTGTCATAATTTCTCAGGTAACTCCAAAAAGAGAAAGCTACGAAAATTACTTTAATACATTCATTACAGTCCCAGTATAAGATTATAGCTTCCTCTCCCAAAGTGTAACCACAACCTGACGCAGGATGAGTTGGTTTGAAAATACCGCATACAATATCCTCTTGAGTAGAATCATAATTTAGAACTCTAAAATTGACCAGAAACAAAACTGTCCAAGTTTGTTTAACGTAATGTGTTTCAACTTATTTGACTAGAAAACCCTTCATTCGTGCAACACTTATAAATATCCCATGGCAAATCTAGTTTTCTATGAATAATGAACAAAACATTTATAATTTAAAACTAAAATTGTCTTCTAAGCAGAGATCTACGTATCAATAAAATGAAGAAATAAAATTTCCATACTGTTTTCTTCCCAATACAAGGATTAGAAGGAAAGGGAAAAGAGTAACAGCGAGAATCAATAGCCCATGTCTGGCCAGGCTCCATGGCTCAATCACACCTGTAATCCCAGCAATTTCAGAAGCTGAGGCGGGAGGATCACTGGCCTTTAGTGATCCTTGAATGAAACTCCATCTCTAAAAAATTAAAAATATTAGCTTAGAGAATCATTTGGGCCCAGGAGTTTGAGGCTGTATTGAACTATGACTATGCTACTGCATTGCAGCCTGGGCAACAGGCTGCTTAAACCTGGAGGGGCGGAGCTTGAAGTGAGCCGAGATCGCGCCACTGCACTCCAGCCTGAGCAAAGGAGCCAGACTCCGTGGCAAAAAAAAAAAAAAAAAAGAGATTCTATTCACAATAGCAACAAAACCCTGAGAATATATCTAGCAAAGTATACACAAGGCCTTTCATGAAGAGTATTGCCATAGCCTGAATGTGTCTCCCAAAATTCATGTATTAAAACTTAATTCCCAAGATGATAGTACTAAGAAGTGGGGCCTTTAAGAAGTGATTAAGACATAGGGTGAGCCCTCATGCATGAGATTAGTGCCTTCCTTATAAAAGGGCTTGTGGGTGGTGGTAAATCTGTCCCTTCTGCCTCATGAGAACATAGCATTTGCCTGCTCCAGAGGAAGCAGCATTCAACGTACCATCTTGGAAGCAGAGACCAGGCCCTCACTAGACACTGTGTCTGCTGGAGTCTTGATCTTGTTCTTCCCAACCTCCAGAACTGAGAAAATAAACTTCTGCTCTGTGTAAATTACCCAGTCTCAGGTGTTTTGTTATAGCACTATGAAGGGACTAAGACAAATATAAAAATTACCCAGGGACTTAAAGGAAGAACTGACTAAACTGAAATACATGCCATATATATTATGAATCGTAGGACTCAATGCTATAAACATACTACTTCTCAACAAATTAATCTATAAATTCAAGAAATTCCTACACAAATCCCAATAGAATTTTTTTGTGGAACTCGAGAGGCTGATCCTAAAATTCATACAGTCACTTGAGGGGCCAAGAATAGTGTAACAGGGCTGGCGGGGCTGGTGGCTCACACCTGTAGTCCCAGTACTTGGGAAGTCAAGACTGGAGGATGGTTTGAACCCAGGAGTTCAAGACCAGCCTAGGCAACATAGCAAGATGTTGTCTCAAAATATTAAAAATAAATAAATAAATAAAAAGAAGGTTAAGTATGCACATTTTGTTGTGAATTTCAATTTTATAGTGATTTTTTTTTTTTTTTGAGACAGGGTCTTGCTCTGTCACCCAGGCTGGAGTGCAGTGGTGCCATCTTGGTTCACTGCAACCTCTGCGTGGGCTCAAGCAATCCTCCCGCCTCACTCTCTGGAGTAGCTGGGACCACAGTTATGTGCCACCACACCTGACTAATTTTTATATTTTTTTTTTGTAGAGACGGGGTTTTTCCATGTTGCCCAGGTTGTTCTCAAACTCATCCACCTGCCTTGGCCTCCGTAAGTGAGATCACAGACATGGGCCACTGTGCCCGGTCTAGTGCGCTTTTTTTTTTTTTTTTTTTTTTTAACCAAACAAACGATGAAGTCTCAGGAGTAAAAGTTGATACACAAGTAAATTTTATTGGTAATGTTTTTGTGTGGTCTTTAAGCAGAGGGAAAATTAGTCTGCATTATGGTGTATCCAGACTAAATAACTGATATTAAAATGAAATTATCCTTAGGATTTGCAATCTTAGAGAAAACTTTTTCATTTTTTTTGAGTTACAAATTATCTTCACTTACATTTGAGAACAGTGAGTCACAGAGGGATTAAGTATCTTACTCAAGATCTTGCAAGTGTTTGGTTTGAACCCAATCTTTTCACTCTGCAGAACTCAGAGTCACTCTTATTTGGAAACTTTTTAACTGATGTGGATCCTCTAATATGGGCTTCCTATTATTCATTCCGTATTAGTCAGAAGTTTTGCAAGCAGGCAGAATTCATTTTGCCAATTACGGGATTTTCCCTCAGTTGCAGTCAAGGTTCATAAAACTATAACTATTTATCTTTAATTATAAATTTTGTTTTTGAGACAAAGTCTTGCTCTGTTGCTCAGACTGGGATCCAGTGGCACAGTAACAGCCCATTGCAGCTTTGAACTCCTGGGCTCAAGGGATCCTCCGCCTCAGCCTCCCAAGTATCTGGGACTACAAGTGCATGCCATCATCCCTGGCTAATTTTGTTAAAAAAAAAAAATTGTAGAGATAGGGTCTTGCTTCGTTGCCCAGGCTGGTCTCAAACTCCTGGCCTCAAGCAAGCCTTCAGCCTTGGTCTCCCAAAGGGCTGAGATTACAGGTGTCAGCCATTGCACCTGGCCAAAACTGTAACTATATATACACACACACATAACTACATATATATGTGTGTGTGTGTGTGTGTATGTATGTGTGTGTGTATATATATTTTTATATATAAATAGATATATCTGAAAGGCATCAAAAGAAAAAAGCTGTAACTTTTAGTCTTGATCTTGATAGTGACTTGATTAGGCTATCTGTTTAACATCAAAGATGCAAATTAATGCTTTCTTTGGGTGAGCATATTAAAAATGCAGAAAATATTGGAGTAGTTTTTTATGTTAAATAAATTGTATTCTGTGTATTTAAGGTATACAACATGATTTTATGGGATGCATATAGATGGTTAAAAAAAATTACTACAGTGAAGCAAATTAACGTATCCTTCAACTCAGATAGTTACCCGTTTTCTTTTTGTTTGGTGGCAAGAGGAGCTTAAAGTCTCATTTAGCGTGAATCCCAAATACAGCACAATTTTATTACCTATATTTCTCGCGTTGTACATTATATTTCTAGGCTTGTTCATCCTACATATCTGCTACTGTGTAACCTCTGAGCTATGTCCACCCATTTTCTCTCTTGCCCCCCAAGTAATTTCCTAAAGTGTCTCATATAAAAAGGCAGTAGCTTTCAGCTTAAACTTTTTCTCTGTATATATTTAAGTCAATTTCTTTGAGGTATGTTTTTCTCTCCAGAATAGTTAGATGTAGGCATACCACTTTAATGTTGACACTAGTTCACCTAGAACTTATCTTCTGCAAATCTGTCTCTATGTCCATCTCTGTCTCCATCTTTGTCTCTGTCTTTATCTCTGTCTATCTATCTATCCATCCATCCATCCATCCATCTATCTCTCTATCCATCTATCTGTCTATCTAACTAAAGCAAATTCATGCCCTTCTCCTATTTATGGAATCGAGACCATAAACAGAGGTGAGGGAAAGAATTTGGCAGGAATTGCGATGTGTATTACCTGTGGCATAAGGAAACTTTACAGAACTAGGGTCAAAAGTATACTTTCTAGTTCTTTCCCATGGCTTTTCACTTTGATGTAGTCCTTATCAGGCAACTGAGGTTTTATATAAGTCCCCTGATTCTTAGAACATGAAGGTGTAGTATTCAAGTTTGGTCCCTTGAAACCACAATTTTTGTTAAAAAAAATTAAGAAAATTGTATAATTTCCTCAGCAAATACATATTGATCATCTGTTATACAGCCATGAGAAGTGGTTCTGTTGAACACGTTTATTTTATCAGATCCCAATTCTAAACCAGGCATAGAATGGAAACCATGAAGGTAGGATGAAATAACTTCTGAATGTTTGAAAATAGTGTACTTAAAAATAAATATCAGGTGTTTTTGTTTTGTTTTTTGTTTTTTGTTTTTGAGACAGGGTCTCACTCTGTCACCCAGGCTGGAGTGTGGTGGTGCCATCTCACCTCATTGCAGCCTTGACCTCCCAGGCTCGGGTGATCTCCCACCTCAGCCTCCCAAGTAGCTGGGACTACAGGCACATGCCACCATGCCCAGCTAATTTTTTGTATTTTTTGTAGAGACAGGGTTTCACCATGTTGCCCAAGCTGGTCTAGAACTCCTGGGCTTAAGCGATCTTCCCACCTCAGCCTCCCAAAGTGCCAGGATTACAGGCATGAGCCACCATGCCTGGCTGAAAATACCAGGTTTTTAAGTATCAGCACTGCCTCTTCAATCTTTTCTATTACTATGTTGTGCTCAGTGGTATTTTTTATTGAATTAGAGCAGTGCTGTTCAATGGAACCTTCTTTGAGGATGGAAATCTTTTATGTCTCTGCTGTGTGGGTATGGTATTAGCTGGGTATGGGGCACCTGCCTATAGTCCCAGCTACTCAAGAGGCTGAGGTGGGAGGATCACTTGAGCCCAGGAGGCCGAGTCTGCAGGTTCGTACCACTGCAATTCAGCCTGTGTGACAGAATGAGACTCAGTCTCAGAATAAAATGAAATAAGGAAATAAAAATGTAATTGTTGAAATAAGAAACTAGTGGATGGATTAGACACGAGAAGAAAGAATTAATTGTTTAGGCGATTCTCTCCAAAAAGTAAGTCAGCATGTCACACAGAGAGACATGAGGATGGATGATAGGGCAGAAGTTGGTGGGCTTGGAGGGGAGAGGAAGATCAGAATGAGGTCCAAAATGTGTCTTAGTGAAATCCCAGGAGGAGATATTAAAATTATATTAGAAAGTGAAAGAAATAGAAGTTTTATTTATTTATTTATTTATTTATTTTGAGAAGGAGTCTCGCTCTGTAGCCCAGGCTCGAGTGCAGTGGCACGATCTGAGCTCACTGCAAGCTCCACCTCCTGGGTTCACGCCATTCTCCTGCCTCAGCTTCCCAAGTAGCTGGGACTACAGGCACCCACCACCACGCCTGGCTAATTTTTTGTATTTTTAGTAGAGATGTGGTTTCACCTTTTTAGTCAGGATGGTCTCAATCTCCTGACCTCATGATCCGCCAGCCTCAGGCTCCTAAAGTGCTGGAATTATACGCATAAGCCACTGCACCCGGCCCAAAAGCTTTGTGTTTTTACAAATATTACACATGTTTCTTGTTTAAGAAAAAAAGTCTTCACAATAACGTAGGAGAATAAGAGAAACATTTTTCCAAAAAAGAGAAGTCATTGTGATTATTTTATCTTATTGGAATGTTGGATAATATAGTCTGCTTCAGTAATCATCAAGCATGCTATGGATTTTCCATTTTCATAGGATCTGTATCTCGGTTAAGGTAATACTGGTAATTTTTGTACTCTATGAAAAATATAGGCCAAAATCATAGACCTTGCATAGAAGCTGGATCATGAAGACAGCTCTGGAGGAACACACAGGTACACACACACAGACACACATATATATAAAGTATACACATATATATATTTTTAAAAGCTTTTAAAGCAAAAGCCGGCCCTGCCCCTCTCCCAGAGTTGGCGGCCTCTCCCCTCTCTTAGGGTGGGTGGGGACAGTGGTTGCCTGGGCAGCTTTCCTTGTGAGCCAAAGGTCCCTCTGGACACATGATGCCTGGCCACGCCCCCTTTCCCTTTCATCTTTCTCATTAACCAATGGGCTTGGAGCATTAAGGCCACGCCCCTATTCTGCCTTCTACTGCATCCCTGGTTACGCCTCCTCTGGCTCAGTCGCACAGCTACCTGGTAGGTGACTGGAGGTGTTGATCAGTGCTTGGTGGGATTTTGCTGATGTGGCCCCAAGCCCGCCTCCCTCCCCACCCTGCGATGGCAGAAGAAACTCGACAAAGTAAATTGGCAGCAGCCAAGAGAAAGGTAAAAACACACCAGGTCACGGACCCCCAACCCAGCCATAGATCCTCTCCAACGACAAGACTGCTGCCAGAGTCCATACCACTCCCGAGGTTCACCGGACTGGGACCCCCACACCGGTGCCTCTGGGCTACCCCCACCAAAGTTTTGTCAGTCAGCCCCACCCCTTCAGCAAGCAGCCCAGTCTCTGCCCTCACCAATCACCCCAGGGTGACTTTGGGCAGGTGAATCCTGGGGCTCCCCGCTCCTTTACTGGGCCCCCATCTCCTGCCACCCCAAGCTTGACCTCCCAGGGCTTTTTGGGCTCACATCTCCAAGGACCTGGGTCCCACAGCCCCAGACCCCACCCTCACCAGTCATCCCTGGGTGACTTTAGGCTGGTGAATCCTGGGGCTCCCTGCTGCTGACTCTTCCCTTCCCTCCTGCTGCCTCAAGGTGGACCTCCCTAGGCTGTGTGCACTGGTGTCTCCAAGGACCTGGGTCCCAGCTCTGTTTTTCCCTCCCCTATCATGGAGCGGTGACTCGGACATCATGCTGATGTGGTCCCTCCCCCTCACCAGGAAGAGTGGAATGTAGTGATGTCACGGTCCATCCAGTAACTGTCATTACTGCAAGACTGGCCTTTGATCTTATGACCCAGTCCCCTAAGCATTGCCACCCCATTTCTGGTTCCTCTTGTCACAGCACAAATTTCCAGCTGGAAGGGGAATGGAGATTGGGACCTAGGAGCAAGAGGTTTCAGGCTGCCTCACTCCCTTAACATAAACATTGACAGCGGGAAAAGCCTACACTTCCCCTGTGAGCTCAAAACATTGACAGTACCTCTGGATGGCAACTGGAGAATGGGTTTGACTTGGTTTGGTTTTCTCCCAGGCTTCTACTTTCCAGAGAGATTTTAACAAATTTTTTGTGAGTTCTCCACCTCACATTCTAATTCTCCATGGTTCTGGGACCAGACTGCCCTTCAGCCAGTGGTCTGTGAAGTGAGATTTGCTCATCTTCTGTGGAATAGATCTTGGGAAACTGAACTTGACAGCTTGAATCTTCCTCATATTATGTAAACCTGGGGTACTTTGAGTGCCACAGGATACATATGGGACATCTTTCTGAAGCATCAGTTTCCATTGATTCTCTTGAGATCAAGAGAAAAAACATTAATGTACTTAGGGATGACAGTCACATAGGTTTCTAAGAGTATACCAGACTTCTCTCTGAAATGAGGCTTGGGTTGTCCTCTTTCTGATAAATTCCCAGATTTAACAGAAAGGCTGCCTTCTGCCATGAGGACACATTGATATAAGAGTTTGAGAGGTACTGGTGCACTTCTTCACACTAACAGACGTGTGAGGATGTATGACTAAACCACATGGCATACAGTTCCTGCCTACTTAATGTTTACTTTTCTACCTCTGCCTCTGGTTTTGGTCCCTGGCAGCTGCTGATTCTTGGTAAAACCCCAGAGTTTGGAGTCAGAAGACTGAGTTTCAAAGTTCGTCTGTCGCCTTTTTCTTTTCTTCTTTTTTTTTCTAGCCATGATATCAATCTCTTTGAGTCACTAAATGATTGTGACAACACCTTGTACAGTTGTTGGTATCATTAAATCAGATGGTGTATAAGAGTATTTTATAAAAACTGTAAAGGAGGATGTGGCTGCAGGGGCTGATAGTTCTCATGAGTATTACTGCTCTTGTTTCTGACAGTTAAAAGAATATTGGCAGAGAAACAGCCCTGGTGTTCCAGCAGGAGCCAAGAGGAACAGGAAAACAAATGGCAGCATCCATGAGACAGCCACTTCTGGTGGTTGCCACTCACCTGGAGATGTGAGTCTTGGCTGACTAGGTTCCTGGGGACAGGGGACCCAAGGGGCACTAGAGGGTAATTGTTAAGATTGTGGATGGACTGTTGGGTACCTGTGAAGAATTCTGGGTTTGAATCCTGCCTCTTTGTCTGCTAGGGATATGAATTAGGGCAAGTTGCTAGACCTCATCGGGCCTCTCTTTTCACATCTGTATAATAGAGGTGGTATTGTTTCACTTCCATTTGTGAAGTTTAAATGAGATTTGTTATTGTTGTTTTTATGTTAATCCCTAGTACATGGCCTGCTGTAAACACCCAGAACACCCAGGATATGGTCATTGCTGTTCGATTTTCCTCATCCCCAGTCTCAAGGGGAAGCCAGGACAATGAGAACAGTCACTTGGCACAGGAGTCACTGAAAGGGCCACAGGGTGCTGTGGTGGGGAGATAAGAACCATGAGAGAAGTTGGCACAAAGGAGTTATGGGACAAAGGGTCCAAGATAGGCAGAAAAGAAAATTGTGCCAGTTGATGGGGAAGAAAAGAAGTCAGAGGGCTTAGATACTGAGTGGGACAGAACATCTTCATGTGCACTCTCATCTCTTGTAGTCAGCAACAGGTATCCACGGGGAGAGCCCTACATCATCTGCTACCCTGAAGGATCTGGAGGTAAGAGGCTCTGGGCAGAGGTGCAGTGACCCTGCAGGCCAGCCCTCCAACCTCCTCCTCCAGGTGGGACGGGGTGCCCCTCTGCCAGCTGAGACAGTCCACACACACCCCAGCCCTAATGATTGCTCTCTCTACCTCTCCCCCCACTCCTCCTCCACCTCCTCCTCTCTGCATGCGCCTCAGAGCCCGTGCCAAGAACTAGCAGTAGTCCCAGACTCGAGGTCCGTAAAAGTCAGTCAACTGAAGAACACCATCAAATCTTTGGTAAGAGTCCACTGGGGTCCCCTGATTCCACGCTGCCAATCCTGGGCTCTAGTTTCCCCTTGGGGCCCTGAAGAAAGGGGACGGCGGCCCCTGGTGCCAAGGGCGAATAGGGAGCTGGGGCGCCCAGGCCTCACCTGGAGGGACCCCGGAGCATGCAGCATGGCTCTTTTTTTGCTGCCCTGTTTGCTGACTCTCCCCTCTCCAGACGCCCCTGCTCGAGTCCTTGCTACACACGCCCTGGGATTGTTGCCTCTTGGGGAAGTGCTAGCCTGACTGGTTGTCAGGGGCCCCGTATTTCTGCCATGACTCAGTCCCTAATTTGCTCTTTGATTCTGGACAAGCCACCTCTCCTTTTTGGGCTCATGTTTCCAGAGGAAGTAGTGAGTATCAAAGGTCTCTGTTAGCTCTCGAGTCTGAGATTTAAAGGCCTCCTAGAATGGAAACCTCAGGGCCAAAGGCTCCTGTCTGTCCTTTTCCGCCCTAAATCTTCTGTGAAGAACCGTACTTGGCCCGTACGTGCTCAGTAAATGTTTATTGAATGAATGCACTTTTCTAAATCACAAGCTGGCAGAAGGGGGGGCCTTTCTCAAACTCCATCTCTAGAGGTTTATGTTACTGTCCTGTCAAGAGATTCCAGATTCAGACCTTGAGTTCTGTGGCTGTGGACAAAAGCCAACAAAGACCCAAATCCTCTGTCCTTGGGAGCTTGAGGAGAGTTTACCAGTTCGAGTTCCCACTGGGTCTGAGAACTTTGCCTTTAAAATCCATTCCTGGCCCCTGCCTACCACTTCCTGCTCTGGGGAATAGAGTTGAGGGGGCCACCCTCCATCACCTTAATGTGACTCTCCCCACAGAAACAACAGAATAAACAAGTGGAACATCAGCTGGAAGAAGTAACATGATTTCTTTGTTTGCTCGCGACATGACTGCTCGGTTTGGGGGACACTCAGATGTAGAGGCCCCGAGTCTCGTCTCACCCACTCCCAGCCTGGGGAAGAAGGCTCACCCCCCAGAGTCCACCCCATCCCCCACAGGGTCCCTGATAACCCGGTCCCATGGGTGGGCCTGTCCCGGGGCAGGGGCAGTGGTGGCATTCTGGGGACATGTCTCTTGCAGTACCATCTCTGCCTCTGCCTGGTTAGATCTCTGTCTTCCTCTTCCTACAGGAAAAGAAAGCAAACAACGAGAAACAGAAAGCCGAAAGGGAGCTAGAGGTGAGTGGACGGTGTGCAGTTTTCTCCTGTCCTCCGGAGAATGTTTCTTTCCTTCTCTTTCAGCACTTGCTTGGCTTTTCTCCCAAAGGTTCAAATCCAGAGATTGAACATACAGAAAGGGAAACTAAATACGGACCTGTACCACACGAAACGTTCTCTCAGATACTTTGAAGGTGGGAATCTGGGTACCCTGTCATCCTTCAACCTGGCACTTTGACAGGTCTTCAGGGGGAGTCCTTTGGGCCCCATCTCAACTCTCTCATTACAGAAGAGTCCAAGGATCTGGCCGTCCGTCTGCAACATTCATTGCAGCGTAAAGGAGAGTTAGAGCGGGCTCTCTCTGCTGTCACCGCCACACAGAAGAAGAAGGCGGAGAGGGTGAGTCCAACCACCTGCCCCGTCCCCTGGGAGCCTGGCTTCGCAGACAGAGGAGTGAGCCTAAAGGTCCCTTCTGCAGGATGGAGTGTCCTGCCCAGAAGGCAGCATGGCCATTTCTCACTGCTTTTTTGTATGGTTGTTAGCGGCAGCTTGGGACTGAGTCAGCTGCTGTGGGTGAGTTGGGGGGCACTCTGGGGAGAGAGCACAGGACGTAGAGCTTGGAGGCCAAGTGCCTGCCATGCCTTTACCTGGCTGTGGTCTTGGCCAAGTCCTCAGTGGGTATTGGGTACTTGTACTGTGAAGGTACAGAAGAGTACCTTTAGTATGTTACCATTTCTGTAGAGAGAGGAAACGTGTGTGTGTGTGTACATATTATGATAATATACATAAAATATGTTTGCAAGTGTTCATAAAAACTCAGGAGAGAGCAACAGGGTGGCTGGGAGATACTTCCCTTCTGTACCTTCTGAGTTTGGGACTATGTGAATGTATTATCCTTTCAAAAAGTGAACAAAAGATTAATTTTCCCCTTCCTAGCTGTGCCCCCACCCCCAGCAAGAAAAATGGGCTTAGAGAATTGGATAGATCTGGGTGTTTAAATCCCAGCTCTGCCTAAGTGATCTTAGGCAAGCACTTAACCTCAAATACTCCATGTTTTTTCATCTACACAATAGAGGTCATCATAGTAACTGTCTCCCATGGTAGTTGCGAGGATTAAATGGGATTGCTAGCATGGTATCTGGTGAAGCACTCCATAAAAGTTCAAACAGTGGTAATAATAACAGTAATAACAATAGCAATATTATCTGATCTCTCTGGGCCTCTGTTAGCCAGCTATAAATTCGATCTCTTTCCCTGTCCCTTCCAACTTTACTGAGTTCTTTAAAAACCAAACCACGGGCTTGGAAATGCCTTGATCTTTACTGACCGAGTTGTATATTGGGCCTAGCCCTGGCCCTTTTAAGGGGCACTGTGTGGAATGGCCCGGCCTCACCAGATTGAAACTTCTCACTCTTCAGCAGTTCTCCAGCCGCAGTAAAGCACGTATGGAGTGGAAGTTAGAGCAGTCCATGCGGGAGCAGGCACTGCTGAAAGCGCAGCTGACACAGGTGAGGTGTTCAGAGGGAGGGATGTGGAAGGAAGATGACCCCAGGTAACCAGGAGCAGGTGAGGACCAGTGACAGCCCTTCCTAATTTCTGTGCCCATTCTTGCAGTTGAAGGAGTCACTTAAAGAAGTCCAGCTAGAGAGGGATGAATATGCTGAACATCTAAAAGGAGAGAGGGCCCGGTGGCAGCAGAGGATGAGAAAAATGTCGCAGGAGGTGAGATCTGACCCTTCAGCCCCCCCACATTAGATAGGTCACTGGATCTTTCTGGGCACCTGTAAAATGGGAATAGTAGAGCCAGAGGTGGTCCTGGGACTGGGCTTTGTGGAGGTGGGGGCAGAGAGGGAGATGGTAGCATGTCCAGCCTCCAGCCCCTCTCTCCAGGGCCCTTTCCCCCTGTGCTTTGGGCAGGTTTGCTCGTTGAAGAAGGAGAAGAAGCATGATAAATATCGGGTAGAGAAGCTGGAGAGGAGCTTGTCCAAACTCAAACACCAGATGGGTAAGATGGGGCTGGCGTGACCTGGCAGCAGGACTGGCATCAGAGGGCTGTGAGGGTGGCTTGGAGTGCCCCAGCGAGGTGGGTGGATGGAAGGGCTTTGAGGCAGAGGGAAAGAGGTCTGTGCCAGGAGACGGCAAGTCTTGTCATCTCAATGAGCCTCAGTGTCCCCATCAGCAAAGAGGGCCCGTTGTCAGCCACCCGCAGTGCTCTTTCTCTGAAAGTGCTTTGGAAGACTGGCTACCATCTGGGTGCGAGGAATCATTAGCAGTGAGGCTAAGTTTGAGGAGCCGGAGAGGAGCTGTGCGCCAAGAGGAGGGTTTTTTCTTTTCTTTTCTTTTTTTTTTTTTTTTTTGGAATCCAGAGGCTCTTATTGTCTGCTTCCTTTCTCAGCTGAACCTCTGCCCCCGGAGCCCCCAGCAGTGCCCTCTGAGGTGGAGCTGCAGCACCTGAGGAAGGAACTAGAGAGAGTGGCAGGAGAGCTCCAGGCCCAGGTGGAGTACAATCAGCGCATAAGTCTCCTGAATGAGGGGCAAAAGGAGAGGCTTCGGGAGCAGGAGGAGAGGCTTCAGGAGCAGCAGGAGAGGCTTCCAGAGCAGGAGGAGAGGCTTCAGCAGCTGGCCGAGCCACAGAACAGCTTCAAGGAGCTGGTGCGTTGCCCCAGCTGGGGAGCCTGCCCTCCTCCCTAGCCCTCCAGGCCTTTGTTTCCCCACCTATAAAATGGGGCAGTGTAGCCCTCAAGTGAAATGTTACTCCTAAAGGCACCTGTGAGCCAGAGCCCTGCTCTGGTGGCTGTGGGAGACAGGGGATGATTTTTCTAACCTGCCTCCACCCTTCCCGGTGCCATGGGAGGCAGTCACCAAGTTCTGGGGTCTCCAGCTGCAGTGGGTGGCTGCTGATTGCTTCTCTCTGTCCAGAACAATGAGAACAAGAGCGTACTACAGTTGGAGCAGCAAGTAAAGGAGCTGCAGGAGAAGCTAGGCAAGGTGAAGGAGACGGTAACCTCCACCCCATCCAAGAAGGTCTGGGAGGTGGGTGGGCACCAGCCTCTGGGGAGGGGAGGTGCCAGGCCAGCGGTAGCTCCAGCCCGGGGGCAGGTGACCCCAGCACCCTCCAGGGCAGTCCTGTGGCTGTTTCTTGCTTCCTGCCCTCTGATTTTAGAGGTGGGTAGCCCTGGGCTCCTCCCAGGTCTGGACATCATCATTCCAGCTAGAGACATGGAGCCCCCCCAATCACAGGGGAAGAGACAGAGTGGTATAACAGTCTTCTTATGCCAGATGCGGTGGCTTACGCCTATAGTGCCAACACTTTGGGAGGCTGAGGCAGGAGAATCACTTGAGGTTTGGAGTTTGAGATCAGCCTGGCCAACATGGTAAAACCTCATCTCTACTAAAATTACAAAAACAAAAAACAAAAAAAGAAAGAAAAATTAGTGGGGCATGGTGGTGGCGCATGCCTGTAATCCCACCTACTCAGGAGGCTGAGGCACGAGAATTGCTTGAGCCCAGGAGGTGGAGGTTGCAGTGAGCTGAGATTGCACCACTGCACTCCTGCCTGGGCCACAGAGTGACACTCTGTCTCAAAACAAAACAAAAAGACTCCTTAGATTAAAACTGGATTCCAGCCTCAGTTCCACTGGTCACCATTCAAGTACTTCGCATCTCTAGGTCTCTGTTTCTTTAACTTCAAAAGGAAGTTAGCATTTTCCTTACAGAGGTGCTGAGGATTAAATGAGATAATACATGGGAAGCATTAGGCCTGTAGCACATTTAGCAGATGGTGGTTGGCTCCCATACTTTTCTACCATTCTGTGGCCTACAGTTGAAATGGTGGGAAGAGGACATGAGATTTGAGGCTGGGGAAGGAGGCATGGGGTTCTAGGAAAGCAAGGCAGTCACTTAGGCCTGAAGTAAGGGGCCAGGGGCCTGGGCAGGCGACAGAGCCCCACAGTGCCCTCGCTACCCTATTAATGGGCCCAGAATCTGCAAACCAGCCACCACGTGCCCTCACACCCAGGGTCTTCCTGCAGGTGGAGCTGAAGAGCCAAGAGGCTCAGAGTCTGCAGCAGCAGCCAGACCATTACCTGGGTCACCTGCAGCAGTACGTGGCCACCTATCAGCAGCAGGTGGCCGCCTATCAGCAGCTGACCTGTGAGAAGGAGGCGCTGTACAGGCAGTGACTGCAGCAGACCCAGCTAATGAACCAGTTGCAGCAGCAGGAAGCTTGGGGCAAAGCGGTGGCCGAGATGGCCTGCCAAAAGTTGCAGGAGACCCAGGGGAGGGAGCTGCCGAGGATGGGGCTGTGAGGGGGACGACCTGGCAAACTCTGTGCCTTCTCACTCTTTCCTGGCCCCTTAGGAGCGTCTGGAAGCTGCCAGCCAGCAGAACCAGCAGCTAACGGCCCAGTTGAGCCTCATGGCTCTCCCTGGGGAAGGTACGGGAGACCGCTCAGAGGAAGAGGAGAGAGCCCCAGGAGGAAGGGGGGACTGCTAGCAGCATAGTATTCAGGAGTTGGAAGAGACCTTTAGAACAGCTGGTCATTATACTAACCGGGTGCCTGCACTAAGTTCAGCATCAATATGGTGACCTCCTGTGAGCGGGGGGCCACCAAGTTGCCTAAGGATGGCTGAACTGGCCGAGGTCAGAAAGGGAGCAGGTCAGAACTCCCGCACCGACCAGTAGTGGGAATGTGCCTGGGCAGTATAGCAAGATCTTGGTTCTTCAAAGTAAAAATAAATAACAGCAGCTCATTCCTCTCTGGGGAGGGCCTGGCTCAGGGTTACACAATGAGGGTGGAGGCAGAGGTGGGCCCACAATACTTCCCTTGTTGAGTTGTCTGAGGACCCCTCTGGCCACCACCCCCACCCCCAGGAGATGGAGGAGGACATCTGGACAGTGAGGGGGAGGAGGCACCTCGGCCCATTCCTAGCATCCCACAGGACCTGGAGAGCAGGGAGGCCATGGTGAGCCTGACTCCACCTGAACCCATTTTGCCTCCTTCCTCTGTGGTCCCTCCAAGACCCCTTTATGCTCTTCGTTTCCCTGCCTTCTGATTTCTCTGGACCCTCACCCCTTCTGGGAGCCAGTGGTCAGACACCATTTCACCTGTGACCAACATGTGCAGTCTCTGGGGCCCCAAGGGAAGGGGCTGCGCTCCACCTCTCTGCCCCATTTGTTCTGTGTATGCCCCTGCAAGAATGCTCACATCTTGCCCTCAGGTGGCATTTTTCAAGTCCGCTGGAGCTAGTGCCCAGGAGAAGCAGGCACAGTTACAAGAGCAGGTGAAAGAGCAGAGGGTGTGCTGCCAGCGCCTGGCTCACCCGGTGGCCTCGGCCCAGAAGGAGCCAGAGGCAGCCAGAGGCCCTGGAGCCCCAGGGCCTGGGGGCGAGTCTGTGAGTGGGGAGACCCACCGGGCCCTGCAGGAAGTCACGGAGAAGCTGGCCCATGCCGGAACTCACCTCCGCCTTCTCCATGACTTGAAAATGCCACCTGAGGGCAGGTCGCTGGCGAGATGTGACCCCATTATTTTGGCTCCAGAGCGGCTTTATGGACCACCTGGAGGAGAAGGCAGACCTGAGTGAGCTGGTGGAGAAAGAAGAACTTGGATTCTTCCAGTACTACAGAGAGAGATGCCATCAGTGAGTGGGAGGCCAGGGCATGGCAGGGGGAGCTGCAGGGCTGTTGGAGGGGCCCCAGCGTCTGAGCCCTGTCCTCCCGCAGGAAAGTTTATCACCCTATAACAAAGCCAGGGGGCAGTGCCAAAGATGCAGCACCGGGAGGAGGACACCATCAGGCTGGCCCTGGACAGGGAGGAGATGAAGGTAGAGTGTGCAACATCTCTGCGGGGGTGGGGGTGGCTGTGACGGTGAGCGCTGGCAGCAGCGTGACAGCTGAGCACCCCTCCCTCCAGGTGAAGCTGCTGGAGCTGCAGGAGATGGTGTTGCAGCTGGTGGCGACTACAAGGGACACAGCAAATTCTTGGTGACTGCCCAGAACCCTGCTCATGAGCCCAGTCCAGGAGCCCCAGCCCCCCAGGAGCTTGGGGCTGCCCACAAGCATGGTGGTGAGTAGAGCCCTCAGGCGGGGTGGGCAGGCAGGAGCAGGGGGGCTCTCACTGAGCTCAGATCCCCGCCTCCCTCTCTCCAAAGATCTTTGTGAGGTGAGCCTCACTGACAGCGTGGAGCCTGTGCAAGGAGAGGCCAGGGAGGGTTCTCCCCACGACAACCCTACTGCACAGCCGATCGTGCAGGACCACCAGGAGCACCCAGGCTTGGGCAGCAACTGCTGTGTGCCATTCTTTTGCTGGGCTTGGCTGCCAAGAAGAAGGAGATAAACATCACCATCGTCAAAGAGCTGCTGAAGAAATTTTTAAAAAAGAAACAAAGTTATGGGGTTAATCTCCTACACAATTCATTTACTTCGTTTGAATGTTATAGCCACTTATGATTATTTGTGTTTCTAATTTATAGTTTAAGTTTATTTGTAAATAGTTAAAAGAGAGTGGGTCTCTGTGGCTTTCACTGATGTTCACTCTGGCATACTTTCGCAATTTTCTTTTTCAATTTCATAATTGTAGGTCATTAGCATGCATATTGAGTTTGCCCTTACGTGGTGGGAGTTCAAACACACAAAGACCCACTATTTGCACAAAACTATTCTTGCTGGTTTGGAATAGGCTGCCATGTGTTTTTAATGTTATTGCAGCATGTATATTCATTACAGAATTCAGATAAAATGTGCCTATGTTCTGCTGTTGTTTGATCTAATCTTAATCACAGTGAGCTCTTCATTAGCACAATATGTGGTTTGCCCCAAGTGTGCACTATTTAATACTTTGTAATATGCCACCAAGAGTACTGACATTTAGAGTTGTTTAAAGGCCGAGAACTGGAAACAGCCTTTCCCTCATTTTCTGTGTATTGGTGATGGGAGTAATAACATTTTGGGGGAGCTTTTTAAATTTCACAGAAGAGGAAAGTTGCCTGCTCTGGCAGGTATGTGCAAGATAGAGTGTGTTTCATTTGTTCTGTTGCCAAGAATTAGTGCTGTACTATTGTAGTTCCTTTAGGATTTGTATGTGCTCTGGGCTCATGAAGATATTGCATCATGAGCTTCAGCAGTTGTACTCTTTTTTGATGACCTAAAAAGGGCTTATTTCTGAGGAATGAAAGGTTCCCATCATTGACTACGGATGTGGAAAACCTTTCCTAGCTTAGAGCATTTGTATCTATATTTTAAAGTCAGAGTTCATGTTACCTGTTTTAATCACATGACTGCATGTCCCAGTACACAAAAGGGCACTGGTTGGCATTCTTCTTAATGTATTTAGTAAAGATCAGAAGAAATCCTTTAAGAGTTCAAATGTCCCTGGAACAGGCATACAGGCTCTAGTCAAGAATGAATTAGAGTGAAGGAAAGCTGTGTGACACCTGGCATTCCTCTGTTCATGGAGCTTCTTTGAGGCTTGAAGATTGATTTTACCATCTAGACCACTCTGCCTATTCTTCAACCACCTTGGTTACTTTGACATAGGAATTGACTTCTTTTCCTTGAATGGAAAACACTTTGAAATAATAATAAACATTGTTATAAACTAATATATGTGAGAGTGCTTAGTTGAAACAAAAAGGAGTTTTAGTAGACAGTATTATACTATCTTTGAAAATCAAGGAGAAGTTTATGCAACTTAAAATGTGTACAAACTGCAGTGCAATCTACTGTTGGTGAATGTCAGTGTATTATCAGGAAACATGTCTATACAATCACAGAGTTATATTTCCTCACAAACTTCTTTGTGAAGAGTGAAATGTGTTTCTGTACCTCTGGGTTTCACTTACGGGCATATTTTGTGCAGTATTTATGTGATTGTGCCTATGCATGATGAATGAATGAATTTCAGTTGTACATTGCCTAAATCATAACTTGATGATGCTTGGGAAAGACTCAACAGTTAAAACTTCATGAAGTTCTAATGTCTGTGTTCCAAAACACATCACATTATTAGGATGTAGGGAGATATGTATGTGTGCTCCCTGGGGTGGGGATTTCTAGTTACTAGACCATCTCCATTTTTAGCATTTGGCATCCTCATGATACTTTTATAAATACGACATTAACAGGAGAGCAGCAGTACGATTTTGCCGATGGAATAACAGATTTGCCGGCAATCACTGAAAGAGTGCAAACATCGGGTCCTTGTGACTTCAACGGACTCTTCCAAATTGTATGAATGTATCAATGTATTAGATAAACCCAGTTTCAGAATGATAAAGAAAAAATGTTAGACCAAATAATGCGGCTAGTTAACAGTGGTACGATTTCTCGCCCGTGGCTTTAAAATGCACTTAAAGTCCTGTCCTTGCCTTTTATTTTCTGAACTTGATGTTTTTGCATTCTTTGAGTTCAGTTTAAAGACAACTACGAGCATCTGTAACCAATCTGACAATAATGTGTTCATCAGGTGCCTGTGGATTAAATCACATACTGGCATATTTAAGCTGAATGTCAATCTGGAAAATAAATTGACTGTATTAACGGAAATACCACTCTTTGTGTAGATATTTGTCGTATATTGAAGAAAAAGCTAAAAAGAATGGAAATCGCATGACTATAACTTAAGTCTTTCTTCAAAGTGCATGCAGTCTTTTGCGATACCTCATTCAGCCAAGTATTGGTATTCTTCCTCATTCGGTATAAGGCAGCTTTCAATTTGCTTAGAGGGCAACATTGGAAGGTTAGAGTTCATCAGAAACAGAATTCTAAAATGTGAGTTCAATTCAATAAATTTGAATTTCTGTAGGAAGAATCAAATCACCGATTTAAAGATTGCAATATATAATAATCATTTTTAAAGTATTGGATTAAATCTGATAGGTTTTCCAGAAATGAACAAAAATCAGCTCTAAAACCAAAGCTGATTTTTAGAAAATTTGAAAATGTAAATCAGCCCTATCCATACTATAGTTTCTCTAAAACTTTATCTGAAAGAGTCATTTTAAAATAACTATTAAACAATGTAACTGCTATCTTAATGTTCTGAAATAAGTTAAAACATTTTAAAATATGAATACTGTAAAGGAAATAAACGGTGGGAAGGAAAAGTAGAGAAAGAAATGCCAATTCCAGTCCAAAGCTTTATTTGCCAAGTTTTCTTAGAATGAATTTTACCAATTTATGAATTCTTGTAAGCGGAATGTAAAACGGAAATACTGAAAGACTTTTGCCTAAAGTGGCATTATTGACTGCTGGTGTGATGCTACTGTAATGTAATAAATTATTAAGTTGTTGCAAAGTGCTGTTTTTGCCTTAAAATTTTATTCTGTGTGTCTTCAAAAATATAGTATTAAAGGTATTGATACTGTGCAAATGCTGGGCATGCTTGGCATGAGATAATGTTTCATTTTTACAAAATTGTAATATAACTATGCAAGGGTTTATTAAAAGAACACAAAATAAAAAAGTTATGGGATTAACAAAAGTTATGGGGTGAAAAAGTTATGGGATAAAAAATGTAAAAAAGTTGTGGCAAAAAAATCTTGTGACCAAAAAGTAGAAGAAAGTTTTATGAAAAGTTACCAAAAAAAGTTATGAAAAAGAAGTTATGGGATTTAAAAAAAAAGGCATGGGATAAAAATAAAAATTAAAATTAAAAGCAGGCCCCTGTCAGCAAAGCCTGGAGAAGTGGGGCCGGGGTCTCCACCACCACACTGTCCCTATCTCCCCTTCCCAGTCACCCCTTTACAATTAGGGTAGCAGGACAAGACCTCTGTCTAACGAGGAAAGACAAACAGACCCTTTGCCACCTTGACCAGAGCTGAGTCCTTAAATTTCTGGATGATATTGTTATTTAAGAGCCAGAGGCTGGTGGAGTTGGTTTGTTTGGAGGAGGCCTCATGGCCTCCTTACTCTCACCATAGCAACTTTTCCCTCAGTGGGGGCTCCAATCTTCTTATTCAGAGAGGTAGCTGAGGCAGGACAGTGGGGCTAACTGTGGACCAGGCGAAGGCACGGGCTGCTGGGGTGGCCCCCCTTCCCCGGTGTATATATTGTGTCTGTGTAAGGTTTTGTATATTCCAGAGGGTAGGGCCACCCCTGTATCATACCTAGCGGTGGTTGGAGGTGGCACATGGGGAGGAGGTTCTAATAATTATTTGTGGCTGGGAAACTTACTTATTGCTAGCATAGGACAGAGGAAGAAGGCAGGGATGGGGTCATGGCTTCCCAGTGGTGTGATCACAGTTCACTGCAACCTCCAACTCTCATGCTCAAGTGATCCTCCCACCTCAGCCTCCCAGGTAGCTGGGAGTATAAGCATGCACTACTATGCCTGGCTAATTTTTAAATTTTTTGTAGAGAAAAGGTCTTGCTATGTTGCCCATGCTGGTCTTGAACTCCTGGGCTCAAGCGATTCTCCCATCTTGGCCTCCCAAAGCACTGGGGTTACAGGCATGAGACATTGCTCCTGTCCATAAGATTTTCTCTTTATTACTGTTTTGTTGTTGGTGGTGGTGTTTTGTTTTGTTTTTATTTTTTGACAGAGTCTCGGTCTGTTGCCTAAGCTGGAGTGCAGTGGTGCAATCTCTGCTCACTGCAACCTCCGCCTCCTGGTTCAAGCAATTCTTATGCCTCAGCCTCCCGAGTACCTGGGGTTATAGGCATAAGCCACTGCGCCTGGCTAATTTTTGGATTTTTAGTAGAGACAGAGTTTTGCCATGTTGGCCAGATTGGTCTTCAACTCCTGGCCTTAAGCAATCCGCCCTCCTCAGCCTCCCAAAGTGCTGGGATTACAGGTGTGAGCCACTGCTCCTGGCTAAGATCCCATCTCTATTTAAATAAAAAAAGAAAATTCAGAATCTATGGAACACAGAACACCAAAGGCCAGTTATTTACCTCTCTGAGGTAATCTGTGTAAACAATTTGATATATATCCTTTCAAGTTCATACTTGCTATGCATACATATATATATACACACATACATTGACATATTCCCCCTTCCCTGCTGTCATGCTATTAGTCTTCTTTTTTTTGTAGAAATTGGACCAACTCTATGTTCTTTGCTGGCCCGTATTTCTCCTATTCAGTGATGTGTTATGAATATCTGTTTAAGTCAATGTATGCAACTCTTTAATATCATTTTAAAAGGTTACGACATACGATCATATGAAGGCATTAGAATTTATTCCAACAGTTCCCTTTTGCACATTTAATAATTTCCATTGATTTGCCAGGAAGAACATTCTCGTGTCATGGCTAAATCCTTTTGTATGGACATCCTTAATTATTCCCTTAAGATAAACTTTTAAATAAAGTTGCTAGATTAGTCTCGTTTCTTAAGTTCTTTTTTGGTAGTTTATATGTAACACTGTAGTTTTATATGTACTTACAAATACCTATAGTGCCAGTAGAAAATGGGATAAAATTAAACTCTTTCACATATGCCAAATATATTTTGATTTAGCGCTTTATTAAGTGCATGATTACAGTCTCTGTATCTTTTGATTTACCTTTCTATCTTTACAATTTTCAGCCGAGATACTTAGAGGTCACATGATAAATTAAGGTTTTCTTTTTTTAATAATCTCCATCTTTCTAAATATGGTGAGTCACAGTCAGCTATTTTTGGATTGTTGAAAGCTGTGACTGTTCTAAATCGGAGCCCAGAAATCACGCCACTTACCAAATATGCTTTGTCTTCCAACATCAGAGTGTCTGGTAGAAGGTGACTGTTCTTGGAATTTAAAAAATCTGAACAGGACAAGACAAGAATCTGGACACTTTTTCTGTTTCTGATAATATGATTGAGTAGGTAGACACGCTGGATAATCCTTGCAAAGACATACTTGAACTTCCCAAAAAAAAAAAAATAAAATCCAGAATCTCTAAGAATGAAGATGGAGTGAAAATCAGAAGGGCTGCTGAGAGAATAATGGGGAAGCAGCCCCAGTTATCAAGGGACATGTCCATGTGTTCAATAGAAAGTTTCAGATGTAAAAAAAAGTTGAGAAAAATAATATATATATTATATATAATAAATGATATAATTGCCCTACATATACACATCATCAACAATTTTTCATTCATGGTATGGACAGTTTTTTTTTTTGGTTGCTTTTTGTTTGTTTGTTTGTTTTTAAAGGTGGGATTTTGCTGTGGTTGCCCAGGCTGGAGTGCAGTGGCATGATCTTGGCTCACTGCAACTTCCACCTCCCAGGTTCAAGCGATTCTCCTGCCTCAGCTTCCCGAGTAGCTGGGATTACAGGCACCCGGCACCACATCCGGCTAATTGTTGTATTTTTAGTAGAGATGGCGTTTCACCACGTTGGCCAGGCTGGTCTTGAACTCCTGACCTCAGGTGATCCACCTGCCTCGGTCTCCCAAAGTGCTGAGACTACAGGCGTGAGCCACCACACCTGGCCACAGCCAGTTTTGTTTCATTTATATTCCCACTTCATTTATATACATTCCTTCTTCCTCTGAATTATTTTGAAGTAAAACCTATACATCCTATCATTTTTAATTACCTTATATGTATCTGTAGAAGACAAGGAATTCTTAAAAATAAATATATTCACAATGCCATTAAATATCAAAAAATTAATATTCTGAAAATAGCCACAAATCCAGAGTTGACATTTTGTTGACTTTCTCATAGGTGATTTTTTTTCTAGTTTATCTATTTCAATCAGATAACTGTTTGCTCATATTTACATTCCTTACTGAACAATGTCTAAACTTAAACTGACATAAAATGGAGATGATCTTCTAACCAGATGCTTAGTGTAAGAAAAAACTTCAAACTGCAAGAGGAGTCCCTCCAAATACAGAAAGGACCAGTATTTTAAGAGGTATGTTAACTAAAATGTGGCAATGTAAGGAGCAAAGCAGGAAGAACCTTTAAGTCCTAAACTTACAAGTCAATTTCATAGTCAGTTTCCCTGGTCCTTCCACAACAACCTCCCCCATCTGTTTTCTCTACAATGGAGGTAACAATAGTAGCTATTCCAGAGCAGGAAAAGGCTTAGAGCAGTGCTAGAAGAGGGTCGTGGCTATATAAAGTTTAGCTATTTGTATATTGTAACAAACTAACTTTTTTTGGTCAATAATAGATTTCTGTTGGAAAAGTAGCAGCCTCCTGTCTGGGGACACCTGCAGTTCCACTAAGTGAACATTGGTGTCTGCTAACCTTTGCCTCTATTTCTCTCAATATACTGTGAAGCTGTTCCTGGATTTAGCAATTTTATATACTTCTTTTTATTATTCTTTTTTTCCTTTCCCTTTTCCTGAGACACAGTCCTGCTCTGTCACCCAGTCTGGACTGCAGCAGCGCCATCATGGCTCACTGCCACCTCCACCCCGGGCTCAAGCAATCCTCCTGCATCAGCCTTCAGAGTAGCTGGGACTACCCAGGGGGGCCCACCAGGTCTGGCTAATCTTTGTGGTTTTTGTTTTGTTTTTCCGTTAAGGGACTGGGTTTCCGGCCAGGCACAGTGACTCACGCCTGCAATCGCACCACCCCTGGAGGCCGAGGCCGGCGGATCTCCCCAGGTAAGGAGCAGGAGACCAGCCCGACCAACATGGAGAAACCCCATCTCAACCTAAATAAATAAATAAATAAATAAATAAATAAATAAATAAATAAAAGTAGCCAGGCTTGGTGGCTCACGCCCTTGATCCCAGCCACTCAGGAGGCTGAAGCAGGAGAATCACCCAAACCCGGGAGGCGGAGGCCCGGCGAGCCGAGACCGCGCCACTGCACTCCAGCCTGGGCAACAAGAGGGAAACTCCGTCTCAAAAAAAAAAAACAGGTTTCACCATGTTGCCCAAGCGGGTCTGGATCTCCTAGGCTCAAGCGATTTGCCACACTCAGCCGTCCAAAATCCTAGGATCACAAGCGTGAGCCATGACGCCAGGCCGATCTATTCCTGTCTGATTAAAAATTGGGCCGGTTGCGGTGGTTCACGCCTGCGATCCCAGCACCCCGGGAGGCTGAGGCGGGCGGATAACCTGAGGTCAGATTGAGGCCAGCCTGAGTAACATGGAGAAACCCCATCTCTACCAAAAAAAAAAAAAAAAAATTAGCAGGGCATGGTGGCTCACGCTTGCAATCCCAGCCACTCGGGAGGCTGAGCCAGGAGAACCACCCAAACCCGGGAGGCTGAGGCTGCGGGGAGCTGAGACCCTGCCACTGCACTCCAGCCTGGGCAACAAGAGTGAAACTCCCTCTCAAAAAAAAAAAAAGAGAGAGAGAGAGAGACTGAGTTTCACCATGTTGCCCAGGCCGGCGTGTAACTCCTAGGCTCAAGGGATCCGCCGCGCTCGGCCATCGGAAGTCCTGGGATCACAAGCATGAGCCGCCACGCCAGGCCCATCTGTTCCTTTCTGATTAATAAATTGCGCCCGGCGCGGTGGCTCCCTCCTGCAACCCCACCACCCTGGGAGGCCGAGGCGGGCGGATCACCTGAGGTCGGGAGTTTGAGACCAGCCTGACCAACATGGAGAAACCCGTCTCTACCAAAAAAGAAAAAAAAATAAGCTGGGCATGGTGGCTCACGCCTGCAATCCCACCACCCCGGGAGGCCGAAGCAGACGGGTAATCTGAGGTCAGGAGTTTGAGACTACCCTGACGAAGGGAGAAACCCCGTCTATACCAAAAAAAAAAAAAAAATACAAAAAGAGCCAGGCATGTTGGCTCATGCCTGCAATCTCAGCCACTTGGTAAGCTGAGGCAGGAGAACCACCCAAATCCGGGAAGCGGAGGCAGCGGGGAGCTGAGACCGCGCCACTGCACTCCAACCGGGCAACAAGAGTGAAACTGCCGCAAAAAAAAAAAAAAAAAAAGAGAGAGCGGGTTTCACCGTGTTGCCCCGGCCTGTCTGGAATTCCTAGGCTCAAGGGATCCCCGGCCCTATTCCTTTCTGATTTATAGATTAGGCCTTGCGCGCTGGCTCACGCTTGCAATCCCAGCACCTCCGGACGCCGAGGCGGGCGGATAACCTGAGGTGGGAAGTTTGAGACCAGCCTTATGAACATGGAGAAACCCCATCTCCAACAATAAAAACAAAAACAAACAAAAAACAAAATGAGCTGGGCATGGTGGCTCACGCGTGCAATCCCAGCCACTCGGGAGGCTGTGGCAGGAGAACCACCCAAACCCTGGAGGCGGAGGCCCGTTGAGCCAAGACCTCACCACTGCACTCCAGCCTGGGCAACAAGAGCGAATCTCCGCCTCAAAACAAACAAAAAGTGACCAGGTTTCACCATGTTACCCAGGCAGGTCTGGAACTCCTAGGCTCAAGCGATCCGCCGCGCTTGCCGTCCAAATTCCTGGGATCACAAGCGTGAGCCACCATGCCAGGCCGATCTAGTCCTTTATGATTAATAAACTGGACCGGGCGCGCTGGCTCACGCCTGCAATCCCAGCATCCCCAGAGGCCGAGGAGGCGGGCAGATAACCTGAGGTCGGGAGTTTGAGACCAGCCTGATGAATATGGAGAAACCCTGCCTGTACCCCCCCCGCCAAAAAAAAGAGAGACCGGGTTTCACCATGTTGCCCAAGCCGGTGTGGAACTCCTAGGCTCAAGTGATCCCCAGCGCTCGGCCGTCCGACGTCCTGGGATCACAAGCGTGAACCACCACGCCAGGCTGATCTATTCTTTTCTGATTAATCAATTGGGCCTTGCGCGCTGGCTCACGCCTGCAATCCCAGCATCCCCGGAAGCCAAGGCAGGCGGATAACCTGAGGTCCTGAGTTTGAGACCAGCCTGACCAACAGGGAGAAACCCTGTGTGTACCAAAAAAAAAAAAAAAGAAAATTAGCCGGGCATGGTGGCTCACACCTGCAATCTCAGCCACTAGGGAGGCTGAGGCAGGAGAACCACCCAAACCCAAGAGGTGGAGGTGGCAGGGAGCCGAGACTGCACCACTGCACTCCAGCCTGGGCAACAAGAGCAAAACTCTGCCTCCAAAAAAACAAAAAAAAGAGAGAGACCGAGTTCCACCATGTTGCCCAGGCCAGTCTGGATCTCCTAGGCTCAAGTGATCCCCAGTGCTCCATCATCCAAAGTCCCTGGATCACAAGCGTGAGCCACCACGCCAGGCCGATCTATTCCTCTCTGATTAATAAATTAGGCGGGGTGCAGTGGCTCACACCTGCAGTCCTGTAGAGGGATTTTTAAGGAATTAGATAGACTCATGGGGTTTAGGAGGACATTTATTAATTATTTAGGTGCACCGGCCCAGTCGGATTAACATTTAAAGGATTGAGCACTGAACCAAGAGTTACCTTTCAAGCATTATGTGGGGCGAAGGGGGAGATCTGTGCAGGGAGAAGCATATTATAGAAGCGAGAAACAAAGATTGTTATTTAATTGAAACATGCATTATATTATTTTTTACTATTTAAGGAAAAATATGTTTTGTGACTTGAGTTTATTTGTTTAGTGACCTTGTAGTTGCACAGTTAAGGAATTAGTCGGGCATGGTGGCTCACACCGCAATCCCAGCCACTCGGGAGGCTTTGGCAGGAGAACCACCCAAACCCCGGAGACGGAGGTCTGGCAAGCTGAGACCTCGCCACTGCACTCCAGCCTGGACAGCAAGAGCAAATTTCCCCCTAAAAAAAAATATATATATATGACTGGGTTTCACCATGTTGTCCAGGCCGGTCTGGAACTCCTAGGCTCAAGCAATCTGGCTCTGGATGTCTTTAACTTGTGATTGAAAGCGTATTAAGATGTTGGGTGTATCAACAGTCCGGAGGACAAGAAGGAAAATCCTGGCATGTGAAATATTCTGCAACAAGAAAAGCAATCGGAGAGGTGACTACATTCACTGCAGCTGTTTTGCCCTCTTCTTCCCCACCCGCCCCCCCCGTCTCTTTCCTGGAAGTTCCCTAGTAAGAAGTAAAAGAGATAATGGCTTTCGAGTGCATGTTTTTCCTGGAATTGGAAGGAATTTTAACAAAGGAGCCCTTCACAATGAAACCCCCCCACACCCCTGCTTTTCACCTGAAGTAGGACAAGATCGTCGCCCCCACCATCATTCTCCACGTGACCCCAGGTGGGGATGGGTAGTGGACACTACTGATAAGCTCTTAGCAATTTCCCTATTTGTGGACTCTGAAGCTCCTTAGCTTGACAACTGATGCATAAGTTTTCTTTTGTGGGATAAGAATAGGAGAATAGGTGACCTTTTCCCCCTGAATTCCCATCCTGGGGCCAGGGAAGAGAGCCCAGGATCCCTTCTCTTGGCCTTCACACTGTGGGAAAGAGTACCTAGAGTTAAAAGCCTGATAAATGCCCTCGAACAGCTTTGAAAATCACAAGGTCAGGAGATCGAGGCCATCCTGCCTAACACGGTCAAACCCGTCTCTACTAAAAAAAAAAAAAAAAAATACAAAAAATTAGCCGGGCATGGTGGTGGGCGCCTGTAGTCCCAGCTACCGGGGAGGCTGAGGCAGGAGAATGGTGTGAACCCGGGAGGGGGACCTTGCAGTGAGCTGAGATCGAACCACTGCACTCCAGCCTGGGCGACAGAGCGAGACTCAGTCTTAAAAACAAACAAACAAAAAAAAAAAAAAAGAAAAGAAAAGAAAAAAGAAAATCACTCGGCGTGAGCGCTTGCCCCCTGAACAAATGTCCAAGTGTATCACTATGGGAATGCCTCTTGGGTCACAGACACAGAGGTAATTCTCTTTGTAAATAGATTCATGTCATTTGTCTCGTTTCTGAACAGTTTCAAAAGAATTATTTGGTGAAGTCAGTTTCCTAGGAGAATCCATCACATTTCCCCAGAGGTATTTCCACCCTTGCAAACCATTAGATAAAGAACAGGTCACGCACAGTGGCTCACACCTGTAATCCCAGCACTTTGAGAGGCCAGGCGGGTGGATCATGAGGTTAGCGGATCGAGACCATCCTGGCTAACAGTGTGAAACCCCGTCTCTACTAAAAATACAAACAATTAGCCAGGTGTGGTGGCAGGTGCCTGTAGTCCTAGTTACTCAGGAGGCTGAGGCAGGAGAATGGCATGAACCTCGGAGACGGAGCTTGCAGTGAGCCAAGATTGCGCTACTGCACTCCAGCCTGGGCGACAGAGTGAGACTTTGTCTAAAAAAATAAAAAAACAAAAACACGTAAAGAACAAATTAGTCCTCGTGGTAGGCCACCCCCACCCCATCTCCAGTTCACCACTTCAATCATACGACTTTCTCAGTGGACTTGAAGCCAAGCTTTCACATCAGAGCCCTCCAACCAAGAGCCTGACTGTATAACTCCTAAGAACAATCAAGTAAGAATGTTTTTCTTTCCATTCCTCACATCTGGTATCTGTTGCCTTGTGAATAGGGTGCCCATCAGCAGGAAGGGTTAGAACTAGGGTAAGTGTGTAGGGAGCAAGGCTTGAAAAGAAACAGATGAGGAAAGAGTAGCAAAATCAAGACTGTCCCAGGAAGTGAGTGTCAGTCAAAGGTTTTGAAATCCCTCAAATAGTTACTTCTGCTGTCTTGGTTTTGTCCACCTCCCTTCTTTTTTCACATACCTGCCACCCTAAAAAGTAATACCTATGCCTAACATAGAGCTAACCAGTTAAAGAACTGCTAGTAACTTTAGAAAAGAGTCCCTTTCCCATCAGAATCAGAACAAAATCTTTTTAAAAAAATTATTTTTGGCCAGGCATGGTTGTTCACACCTGTAATCCCGGCACTTTGGGGGGCTGAGGTGGGCGGATCACTTGAGGTCAGGAGTTCAAGACCAGCCTAACCAACATGGTGAAACCATGTCTCTGCTAAAAATACAAAAATCAGCCGGGTGTAGTGGCATATGCCTGTAATCCCAGCTACTCGGGAGGCTGAGGCATGAGAATCACTTGAACCTGGAGGCAGAGGGTGCAGTGAGCCAATATCGTGCCACTGCACTCCAGCCTGGGTGACACAGCGAGACTCTGTCTCAAAAAAAAAACAAAAACATATATATATATATATATATATAAATATATATATATATAAATATATATACATATAATTTTTTCAGGCAGGGGCAATGGCTTATGCCTGCAATTTTAACACTTTGGGAGGCAGAGGTGGGAGGATCATTTTACCTAGGAGTTTGAGACCAGCCTGGGCAACATAGTGAGATCTTGTCTCTACAAAAACAGTTTTAGTCAGGCGTGGTGGTGCATACCTGTAGCCCCAGCTACTTAGGAGGCTGGGGCAGGAGAATCCTGCTGCTGCATTTTGTGCTACTTTTAAAAATATTTGGTAAAATTCAGGAGTAAAGCCGTCGGGTCTTGGGCTTTTCTTTCCCGGGAAACTTTTTTTTATTTTTTGAGAGGGCGTCTCGCTCTGTCGCCCAGGCTGGAGTGCAGTGGCCTGATCTCGACTCACTTGCAGGCTCCGCCCCTCAGGTTCACGCCATTCTCCTACCTCAGCCTCCTGAGTAGCTGGGACTAGAGGCACCCGCCACCATGCCCAGCTAATTTTTTTTTTTTTTGTATTTTTTTTAGTAGAGACGGGGTTTGACCGTGTTAGCCAGGATGGTCTCCATCTCCTGACCTCGTGATCCGCCCGCCTCGGCTTCCCAAAGTGCTGGGATTACACGCGTGAGCCACTGCACCCGGCTTTTCCTGGGAAAATTGTTTCCGTCTCACTACTTATTGGTCTTTTCAGGTTTTGGATTTCTTTGTGGTTCATTCTTGCTAGGTTGTATGTATCTAGGAAAGTATCCATTTATTCTAGATTTTCTAATTTATTGGTCTATAGTTGCTCATACTAGCCTCTAATGATCCTTAGAATTTCTACAGTATCAATGAAAATGTCCCCATTTTCATCTTGATTTTATTTATTTAGGGTTTTTTGTTTTTTTTTAGTGTGGCTAAAGGTTACTGGTTTGGTTTATCTTTTTTAAAAAACGAACTTTTCGTTTTGTTCATATTTTGTATTTTTTCATTTCAATTTCATTAATTTTTGCTCTTATCTTTATTCTTTCCTTTCTTCTATACTTATTTTGGGTCTGGTTTATTCTTGCTTTTCTAGTTCTTTTAAGATGTATCGGCGCCACGGGCCCCGCAGAGCCAGGGCGGCTCCCGCCGGTAGCCTGTGTGTGGGCCCCGGCCAGCCGCGCCCCCAGTCCATATCGCCCTTCACTGCCCCGAGGCTGGCGCGGCTATGGGGCGCGGGGCCGGCGCTGCTCTGGGGCGTTGGAGCCGCGCGCCGCTGGAGGAGCTGCTGCCGGGGCGGGGGTCTGGGCGGCTCGGGGGGCCACGCGGGCCTCGGACGGCTCCCGGGGCTGTGGGCTTGGGCCCGGCAGCTGCAGGTGCGGGGCTCTTGCCGGCCGGGCGCTCCTCGGCTCCCGCGCGCCGGGTTCCCGGGCGGTCCCACCGCCACTGCCTGGGCAGGGGAGGAGGCCTGGCGGCGCGGGCGGGCGGCGCCTTCCCGGGACGACCAGCGGCTACGACCCATGGCGCCCGGACTCTCGGAGGCCGGGAAGCTCCTGGGGCTGGAGTACCCTGAGCGCCAGAGGCTGGCAGCTGCGGTTGGATTTCTCCGATGTCCGGTGTTATCTCCATGTCTGCCCCTTTCTTCCTGGGGAAGATCATCGATGCCATCTATACCAACCCCACTGTGGACTACAGCGACAACCTGACCCGCCTCTGCCTTGGCCTCAGTGGCGTGTTTCTGTGTGGTGCTGCCGCCAATGCCATTCGTGTCTACCTCATGCAAACTTCAGGTCAGCGCGTTGTGAAGAGGCTGAGAACTTCGTTATTCTCCATTCTGAAGCAGGAGGTTGCTTTCTTTGACAAGGCTGGCACAGGGGAATTGATTAACCGCCTCTCATCGGACACTGCACTCCTGGGGCGCTCAGTGACTGAAAACCTCTCAGATGGGCTCAGGGCCGGGGCCCGGGCTTCTATAGGCATCAGGATGATGTTTTGTGTCTCACCTAATCGGGCCACCTTTGTTGTGAGCGTGGTGCCTCTAGTGTCAATCATTGATGTAATTTATGGACGATATCTACGGAAACTGACCAAAGTCACCCAGGATTCGCTGGCACAAGCCACTCAGGAGGAACGTATTGGAAATGTTAAGAACTGTTCGAGCTTTTGGGAAAGAAATGACTGAAATAGAAAAATAGGCCAGCAAAGTGGACCATGTGATGTAGTCAGCAAGGAAAGAGGCATTCGCTCAGGCTGGCTTCTTTGGAGAACTAGGCTGTCCGGAAACCTGATTGTGCTTTCTGAACCTGTACAAAGGGGGGCTGCTGATGGGCAGTGCCCACATGACCATGGGTGAACTCTCTCCCTTCCTATGTATGCTTTCGGGGTTGGAATAAGCATTGGAGGTCTGAGCTCTTTCTACTCGGAGCTGATGAAAGGACTGGGTGCCGGGGGGCGCCTCTGGGAGCTCCTGGAGAGAGAGCCCAATCTGCCTTTTAAGGAGGGGGAAGGGTTATCTTAAATGAGAAAAGCTTCCAGGGTGCTTTGGAGTTTAAGAACGTGCATTTTGCCGATCCCGCTTGCCCAGAGGCGCCCATATTTCAGGATTTCAGCCTTTCCATTCCGTCAGGATCTGTCACGGCACTGGTTGGCCCAGGTGGTTCTGGCAAATCAACAGTGCTTTCGCTCCTGCTGAGGTTGTTCGACCCTGCTTCTGGAACTATCAGTCTTGATGGCCATGACATCCGTCAGCTAAACCCAGTGTGGCTGAGATCCAAGATTGGGACAGTGAGACAGGAACCCATTTTGTTTTCTTGCTCTATCACTGAGAACATTGCTTATGGTGCTGATGGCCTTCCTCTGTGACCGCTGAGCAAGTCCAGAGAGTGGCTGAAGTGGCCAATGCAGTGGTCTTGATCCGGAATTTCCCCCAAGGGTTCAACACTGTGGTTGGAGAAAAGGGTGTTCTCCTCTCAGGTGGGCAGAAACAGCGGATTGCAATTGCCCGTGCTCTGCTGAAGAATCCCAAAGTTCTTCTCCTAGTGAAGCAACCAGTGCGCTGGATGCTGAAAATGAGTACCTTGTTCAAGAAGCTCTAGATCCACTGATGGATGGAAGAACAGCGTTAGTTATTGCCCATCATCTCTCCACCATTAAGAATGCTAATATGGTTGCTGTTCTTGACCAAGGAAAAATTACTGAATATGGAAAACATGAAGAGCTGCTTTCAAAACCAAATGGGATATACAGAAAACTAATGAACAAGCAAAGTTTTATTTCAGCCTAAGGAAACAATTACTGGTAAACAACATGAGAGACTTTAATGCAAAACAGTATTGTAGAAAAAAAAAACACCTCAGAGACTGCATGAAATATGTAAACCATATATCAAGTTATTTGAAAAATAGCTATTTTTTCCAAAGCGTGTAAAATATTGCTTTGAAATGTACCTGTTCTCAAGATCTTTTTATTCAGAGTTTTAACCATTGTAACTTTTTAAATGTCTGTAGCACTGAAGTTATTTTCAGGTTTTGTATTTTCTTTCATTGTGGAATATTTTAATTAATATAGCATGGCACCTCATTTTCTTTTGCCTGCTGTTAAAGATGGAAGCTGTTGTCAAATGACAACTTTAAAAAGGGAAGTATAAATAAAAAGCCTGATTATTTTAGGCCAGTTTGCCAATCACTGTGTAATTCCTCTGGTAGTATTCTACCTACTTTAAGTCTAATTTTACTAGATAGAGTAATGGAAAATGAAAATCTAACCCTTTATTCCGATAATCTCATGAAGCAAACCTAACTATTTAACATCAGCTGGAAAGAAGGGAACATTTATATTGCCCGTCTCCTGTGTCTTCAAAGGTGTGAGAGTTGAGGAATATGTGTTCCTACGGGAACTATGTTTGAATATGTGCAGTTTTCAACATTTTGGCAAATGAAAGCCTGACAAGTTTTTAAAAGGGCAGAAGCTTTATTTTTTGAACAGAAAAATCTATTTTTTAAATTCACATGTTTGTATGAGTACTTCTGGGAAGCAAGGGATGAACTGCTAGGTATTATTAAGAACGAATGATTTTTGCATTTAAGTTGTTTGAAGGCATGTATTTTGAAAAATATCTGTTACAAATTTATAATTTCAAGACATACTAAATCTTATAATACTTTTGGAATTTCATTAATAAGGCTAAAATCTGAGGAATGTAACTAATTTTCAGCCTTAAGACACTTAAGTTTGGAAGTCCTTGCTATTCAACAGAATAACAAGAAACCTTCAGAATGTATCACTCTCCCAAAAAGAAGATATTAATAAGCCCTTTTCTTTTATTCATGGTTATAGTTTTTTTATAGTCTCAAAATTCCTAAAGCAATGCTGACAGCCATTGAATTTGCCATATTTTGTATTCAGTGCTGTTAATGTGCTGTTGCCTCAAGAAAAAGTGCTTTTTCTCCATTGATGAGGCTAGACCCTAAGAGGTAATTAAGTCAATGTAAATCAAATGGAAGTTTTGCCATGAACTAAGCATTTATTAGTTCCCTGATTAGACTGGAAGAAGAAACCGCTATTTCATGACAAGCATGGAATATTATATTTTCTTCTTCATAATTAATGAATAAAATTGATATGAGCGAATGAATGTAGTATTTTTTGAATTAGTAAACAGTACATCTGTGACAATCATTTTAACAAGCTCTACTTGTGTTCTTTATAAAGTGTGATTTTCAGAAAGCAAACAAAACACAATTAAAAGGTTGAATCTGAGGAAAATAATGCTTGTACCATAGAAGTATTTACAAAATTGCATTTCATTGTTATGTTTTATTTTCTGATACCTGATGTTCAATTATATCTGTAGGTAATATTTTATATCATAGATTAAAATTTATAGTGACCTTAAAAAAAGATGTATCATCAGGTTATTTATTTGAGGTTTTTCACTTTTTTGATCTTGGAAATTATAGGTATACATTTCCCTCTTACTACTGCTTTTTGCTGTATCCCATAGGTTTTGGTATGTTGTGTTGCCGTTTTTATCTGCTTCAATAAATTTTTCAATTTCTTCTGAATTTCTTTGTTGAAATTGTAAGGATCATTAGAGGCTACTGTGAGCAACCATAGGCCAGAAATTAGAAAACCTAGACTATATGGATACATATAGATACAGAAAAATTCACATTATGAATTTGTTCTCAAATAAGCTTTGGTAATTTGTCTCTTTAAAGAACTTTAAGCTGCCAAATTCTTGAGTATGGAATTGTTCATAATAGTTATTATCATTTAAATATAGAGGTTCTGTAATGATATTTCTTCTTTTATCAGTCCTTTTTTCTTAGTCTTACTAGTATGTAACAACTTTACTGATTTTTTCAAAGGAACTTTTCACTTTGTGAATTTATTTACTTTCAATTTCATTTATTTCTTTCATTACCTGTTATTTTATTTTTTCAAATTACGTTTTATTTGTTTATTTTTTCATTGACTTTTAAACCTACGTATTTTTCTAATACAAGAATTTCAAATAATAAATTACCCTCTCAATTTAACTCTACACCACAAATATGAAGCTTTTATTATCATAATTTTGTTTTATTTTATTTTTTTAATTGGCACATAATAATTGTGCATATTTATGGGTACATAGTGATGTTTCAATACTCATAGTGTATATATTTAATTACCCTGATGAGGTGATGGTAATTAGCATATCCATCATTGCAAACATTTATCATTTCTTTGTTTTGGGAACATTCAATATCCTTTGCTAACTATTTGAAGCTATATGTTATTGTTAACTATTGTCATACCATAATGGTATAGAGCATTAGAACTTATTCCTCCTATCTAGCTTTAATTTTGAATCTTTTAACAAATCTCTCCCTATCCCTCCCTTCCTCTTATACTTTCCAGCCTCTAGCATCCTCTGTTTTAACTTCTATAAGATCAAAATATTTTAGCTTCCACATATGAGTGAGAAGCTGTAATGTTTAACTTTCTCTTCTTGGCTCATTTCACTCACATAATACACTCCATTTCTATGCACGTTGCTTTTATGGCCGAATAGTACTTCATTGTGTATCTATTCCTTTTCCCCTCCTGTCCCCTCCCTTCCCCTCCTCTCCCCTCCCCTCTCCTTCCTTTCCCTTCTTGAGATGGAGTCTTGCTCTGGAGTGCAATGGTGTGATCTTGGCTCACTGTAACCTCTGCCTCTCGGATTCAAGTGATCTTCCACCTCAGCCTCCCGAGTAGCTGGGGACGTGCCACCATGCCCAGCTAATTTTTATATTTGTAGTAGAGATGGGGTTTCACCATGTTGGCCAGGCTAGTCTCGAACTCCTGACCTCCAGTGATCCACCCATCTTGGCCTTCCAAAGTGCTGGGATTGCAGGCGTGAGCCACCGTGCCCGGCCTATATACCACATTTTCTTTAACCATCATCTGTTGCTGGACCCTTAGGTTGATTCCATATCTTGCCTATTGTGAATAGTGCTGCAATAAACATCTAGGTGCAGATGTTTATTTAATACACTGTTTTCCTTATTTCATATTTTTTCTAAATTATCTTTTGATTTCTTTTATGAACTATGAGTTAAATAGTGTTTCATGTTATTTACAACTATTTGGGGGTTTCCTAGGAATCTCTTATGTCATCAATTTCAAATTAAATTTTATTGTGATCAGAGAATATATTCTATAAAATCTAAAGCTTAAATTCATTTAAACTTACTTTTTGATTCAGCATTTGGCCTATGTTGGTGGTGCTTTCAATACACAAGAAAACAATGTATATTCAGCATTTGAAATGTAGTTTTTATAAATGTCAATAAGATCAAGGTGATTTATAATGAAGTTGAAATGTTCTATAGCCATACGAATGGTTTGTCTTACTGTTCAATCAGTGATGAACAGAGGGATGTTAAAATCTTTAATTATTATTGTCATTTATCCATTTCTCCCTTCAATTCTGCTTTTTCCTTCATGAATTATGAGGCTTTGTTATTAAGTTGGTGTCCCTTTCATAATTATGAAATGGGGGCATTTCATAATTATGGACATCTATGTCATATTAGGACAATAATGTAATAACCAATTCATCAGAGGACAATAATATAAGCAATATTATTGTCCTCTGATGAATTGGTTATTTCATAATTATGAAATGCCCCCATTTTCTCTTATAATGCACCCTCTTTTCCAGTCTACATTGCATTTTGCTAATATAGCCACACAAGCTTCCTAATGCTTGCTGTGTATATGGTTTATCTTTTCTTGTAGGTTTACTTTTCATCTATCTGTGTCTTTATGTTTAATATATGCTTCTGGTAGACAACATTAGTTGGGTCTCATTCTTTTGTCTAATATGACAGTCTCTACCTTGTAATTGAATAATTTAGTTCATAAATATGTTAAATGAAATGTGTTGCCACTTTTAAAAACTGTACAATCTCTTGTTTCTCTTCTCGTATTTTTGTTTAATTGTATTTTAAGTATTCATTTTAAATTGCATAGATGAGTTAGTTGCAACGCTTTTTTGTATTGAGTTATTTGTATTACAATAATCATCAATTTATACTTAACTAATCTAAATTTTACTTAGAGGTAATTTTTGACAACTTCATATATAATGTAAAAAACTGATGACATCTGTTCTATTTTTACATTCTCTCCAGTGATTGATAGTGTTGCCTACTTTGTCAAATCAAAACAAGGCAACATTTTCCTAAAAAGTGATCTGTGCTCCACCTATCCTATTCATATGCACAGAAGACTTTCAGGGCAGAAAACTATTCTGCATGATACTACACTGGTATATGAATTTGCCTAAACTCATAGAATGTATGACAGCAAGCGTGGACCCTAATATAACTATGGACCTTGGTGATAAGGATGTGCCAGTGCAGGTTCATCAGCGGTAAGTAATGTGCCACTCCAGAGGAGAATGACAGCAAGGGGTCAGGCTGTGCCTGTGTGGACACAATGATGTATGAGAAATCTTTGTATCTTTCTTTCAATTTTGCTGTGAACTTACAACTGCCCTAAAAATAAAGTCTATTAAAAAAACCCAAAACAACAACAACAAAAACTGATGATGGTAACATTTCCTTTACTCCCCCTCTGTCTTTTGTGATTTTTTTTAGTATAAGTTTTTCTATCCACATCATAAAGCCCACAATAAAATGATATCTTTTTAAATTTAAATAGTCAGTTTCCCTTCAACAAAATCGACAGATTAAAAAAAAGTATTTCCTGTTACTCATATACTTACCATTTCTATGCTTTTCATTTCCTCTAATCTGGAGTTTAGATTCGATGTTATTTCCCTTCAGGCCAGAAAACTTCTGCTAGCATGTTTTGTAGTACAGATTTGCTGGTGACAAATTGGCCCATTTAATTTTTCCGAAAATGTCTTAATTTTACCTTCAACTTTGAAAGATACTTTAATAATATATAGAAACGAACCTGATGCTCTGTCATCTCCAAATACTTTAGTAGACTGATTCTCAACCAGGGGGAGTTTTGCCCTCCAGGAAACATCTGATAATATCTCAAGATATTTTTAGTTGTTAGCCTGGGCAAAGGTGTGAGGAGGATGCTACTGTCATTTAGTTATTAAAGGCAAACCAAGTCGCTAAACATCCTGCAATTCACAGGAAATGCCCCCAACAAAGAATTATGTGGCCCAAATGTCAGAAGCGATAGTGCCAAAGTTGAAAAACCTTGCTTTCATATATATTTTCTACAAACACAATTGTGTCTATATATGTATATACATATATATAATTCTATATGTTACAAATCTATTACAGTAATATATGTGCCCCCCCAAATGCAATACACGCACAGTACAACGAACAAAACCAGAAAATTAATATTAATATATTGCTACATCTAATTATCAAGTCCGCATTAAAATTTCACCAATAGTCAGCCGGGCACGGTGGCTCACGCCTGTAATCCCAGCACTTTGGGAGGCCGAGGCGGATGGGTCACGAGGTCAGGCGATCAAGACCATCCTGGCTAACAGGGTGAAACCCCGTCTCTACTAAAAATACAAAAAAAAAAAGGAAAAAATTAGCCGGGTGTGGTGGTGGGTGCCTGTAGTCCCAGCTACTCGGGAGGCTGAGGCAGGAGAATGGCGTGAACCTAGGAGGCGAGGCTTGCAGTGAGCCCAGACTGCGCCACTGCACTCCAGGCTGGGCGACAGACCGAGACCCCGTCTCAAAAAAAAAAAAAAATTTTTCACCAATAGTCCCAATAATGTTTCATAGCAAAAGGATCAAGTTCAGAATCATGCATTGCCTTTCATTGTCATGTCTTTTTAATGTCCTTGTATCAAGAATAGATCTTTAGACCTAACTTAACCAAGATTTCTGGCCCATATTTTCTTCTTTTTTTCCTTTGCTTTGCTTCTCCTTCCTTTTCTCCTTTCCTTTCTCCTTCGCTTTCCCCTTCCTTTTTCTCTTCCCTCTCCCCTTCCCTTCCCCCTCCCCTTCCTTCTCCTTTTCTCTTTCCCTTACTTTTTCCTTTTCCCTTCCTTCTTTTTTGAATGGCTCCCTTTAGGTTTTCTGAGGTTTCCTTGTGACTAGAGTCAGGCAATGCATTTTGGCAAGAATATCACAGAATTGATGCTGCGTTTTTTTCATTGCATCCTATCAGGTGGTACATGATTCCAGTTTGTCTCACTACTGACAATGTTTATTTTGACAGGTTGATAATGGTGGTATATAGTAGGCTTCTATCTTGTTATTCTCTATTTCTAGATTCTGTTACTTTATTTTATGTTGTTTTTCCTAAAGGGTAATAGGAATTCTCTCTGTTTCTTTGTTTTTGTTTATTTCCCTATTTTTATTCCTTACTATACTTTTAGTACATAGTACCTAGTGCAAAATACTAATATATGTTGAACACCAACAGTTGTTGAACAAATGTCTGAAACTGACTCTGTCCTGCTACCACAAAAACATATATATATATATTTTTTTCCTATAGGGATACCATCAACTCTACATAGTTGTCTAAGCCAAGACCTCCTGCTAGGACTGATTAAAGCCCGTGCATCCTCATTATCCAGAGCCTGTGTTGCTCCTCTAGAGCTATAGCCAGGCTAACCATTCCTTCTGGTTAATATCTGAAAGGAAGAATCATGCAGCAAGAAGAGAACTGTGAGGGAATAAAAATGGCACAAACCCAGCCTGGATTTCTCTCTCCCCTTTTAATGATGAATGAATGAAAAAAATTCATCATTAGCTGTAGTTAGTTTCTATTACATAAAAAGGAAGCTGATGAAACATATAACTGAGTTATATACCCACATCCAATTGGTTCTGTTTCTCTGGAGAACTCTATTAAAGAAGTTATTGAGTATTGTTTACATGTACACTGACAAATATGTCTAAAGGTTATGTCTGAACACCTATAAATTTATATCAATGATTCTATATAGTTCATTCTTATTACACTTGATTCTAATTCTTATGAAGTTGATGTTTGGTAGAATGAATGATAAAAGGAGATTCTGTCCCCTATTGAAGTGTTTGTGTAGTTACACGCCAGAGTTTTGGAGATTGAGGAAAAGGTTGAGCTTAAATAATTTTATGGGCAAACTCAATGCTTGAATGTAAGATAGTACTTTGAAAGATTTGGAGGATTTCATAATGACTTTTACTTTTGCTAATTATTGATACAGTCACTTGTAAATAAGTTTACTTAGGTAAGCTCAAGGAAATCATGCTTTTTCTCAGGCTTATTTTAAATCTGAATATTTTTACTGTCTTTGCTTTTACAAGAAAATATTCATCATTGTATTTTTTGTCTTAATTTTCAAAGTCAAATGTTAATTGTTTTTGTGGGATTACTTTGGCAAATATGGGAGATCCCCAAACAAATTTTAAAAAGTTTTTTCGGCCGGGCGCTGTGGCTCACGCCTGCAATCCCAGCACTTTGGGAGGCTGAGGCGGGCGGATCACGAGGTCAGGAGGTCAAGACCATCCTGGCTAACACAGTGAAACCACGTCTCTACTAAAAATACAAAAAAATTAGCCGGACGTGGTGGCGGGCGCCTGTAGTCCCAGCTACTCGGGAGGCTGAGGCAGGAGAACGGCGTGAACCCGGGAGGCAGAGCTTGCAGTGAGCTGAGATCGTGCCACTGCACTCCAGCCTGGGCGACAGAGCGAGATTCTGTCTCAAAAAAAAAAAAAAAAAAAAAAAAGTTGTTTCTGTTCTCCTTTGTTTTCTACTTTCTCTTAAATAGAAATATATTTCTTGTACAAATAAATGCCATGAATTAAAAAAATAATAAATTATGATTTTCCTTCGTGAGGATCAGTTCTCCTAGACATTGGTTTAGCTAATGCCAGCTATTTGGTATAAAAATCTGTATCAGTGGAGAGGTAAAAAAGAGCTAAAGGAAGCATAAGAAAGACAACCGCATCTTTAAGAAGTTCCTCTTTTTCTTTTCTTTTTTTTTTTTTTTTTTGAGACGGAGTCTTGCTTTGTTCCCCATTGTTCCCCAGGCTGGAGTGCAGCGGCGCGATTTCTGCTCAGTGCAAACTCCGCCTCCCGGGTTCACGCCATTCTCCTGCCTCAGCCTCCCGTGCAGCTGGGACTACAAGTGCCCGCTGCGGCGCCCAGCTAATTTTTTGTATCTTTAGTAGAGACGGGGTTTCACTGTGTTAACCAGGATGGTCTCGATCTCCTGACCTCGTGATCCACCCGCCTCGGCCTCCCAAAGTGCTGGGATTACAGGCGTGAGCCACAGCACCCGGCCAAGAAGGTTCTCTTAAAAGGAATCACTTCTTGTTTTCTTACAAGTTATAACCTCACTACCCTAGAGTCACATTTTTTAATAACTTATGAATTTTCTGAAACTTCAAATACCCTATGGCCCCATGGTAAAACATCAGATGACATTTGCCTCTCATTTAAACCATTTTTCTTTTCCTCTTTCTTCTTTATTTTTCTTATACTCTCTCCTCATTTCTTTTTCTCTCTTCCTATTTCTCTTTTTCTCTCTGCTTCTTCCTACCTCCCCTCGTGACTTTGTCTCCTCATCCCATCACCGTGCTACTTAGATGCCACATCAATTTGACTAGCCTCAAATTTACAATGAATACTTTTTAAATTCATGCTTCTGAAACTTTTAAAGGATGAAGAGGTATAAATGTCTCACATAATAATTTGTTTGATGGCTGAAATGAATGGCATTTCTCAAAAAGGCCAAGGGACTGAATACAGAAATTTAAACAATAACTTTCCGTTAGTGATACGGTTTGGATGTTTTGTCCCCTCCAAATCTCATGTTGAAATGCGACCTCCAGTGTTGGAGGTGGGCCTAGTAATAGGTGTTTGTTTCCCAAGGGTGGATCCCCATGAATGGTTTTGTGCTGTCCTCCTGGTAATGAGTGAGTTCTTGCTCTATGAATTCACGAGAGATCTTGTTGTTTAAAAGAGCCTGGCATCTCCCTTGCTCCCTCTCTCCCCATGTAATATGCCAGCTCCCCCTTTGCCTTAAGCCATGATTGTCAGCTTCCCGGGCCTCAGCAGAAGCTGAGCAGATACTGGTGGCCTGTTTGTACAGCCTGCAGACCATCAGCCAAATACTCCTCTTTTCTTTATAAATTACCCAGTCTCAGGTATTCCTTTATAGCATTGAGATGGACTAACATAGTCAGTTTTGACAACATGAACCTTTCATATTAAAATTTAATTTCTAAATTCACTCATTTACTGTGATTGGTTTATAGCTTTTCTGTAATAATGAATCTTACGTGTGACTTTCAATGTGCTTTAAAACTTGATTCACTTTTTAGCTCTATTTTTGGAAACTACCAGCTTCCACTGTTGAGGCAAAAGTGTCATCATTGAGGCTCTCCTGCTGAGGTAGCTGTTGTCTGATTTCCCTTCAGTTCTACTGCTGTCCCAGTGGAAAAAGGGAATCTTCACCACTTACATGACATGTTTGCCTGAACTCTAATCTTCCACACTTGCTGTAGAAAAGAGTAAAGTGGCAGTTCAGGGCAGTTTACCAATTTAGAAATGGTGTCCGCTCAGTATTTTCCTCTGTGTCACTTACTAAAACATATAAAAGAAACCATGGACATTAAAAGAAAGAGAGAGGTTTAATGTGATATTTTAATTCTAACAAGGATTTATGGGCACATGAATGCTCAAAATCACATACCCCCTTAGTGTTTTTCATCTCACACATATCACATCAGATACATATCACACATTTCAGGCACATATCACACAGAACTTACCGTAATTAAATTATCAGTTTTTGAAAAATATTATCATTTGCTCTCTTTTTTTCTATATAAATAAATTTTTTTAAAATATGATTTTCAGTTCTGGGATACATGCACGGAACATGCAGGTTTGTTATATAGGTATACATGTGCCATATAGGTGGTTTCTTATTTGTGTTTTCATCTTATGGCTTTGGCTAGAACTAGATAATAAAAGTATGCATCAATTTAAGAGTTATTTTTAATCATGGTAAGGACATATCTATAACTACTTTGTTAAATTTCATCAGTCATGCATGTTAAATATCATTAAATAAATATCAAAAATGGGCTGCTGTACCAGAATACCATAGACTTGGTGGCTTATAAACAACAGAAAGGAATTTCTCACAGTTCTGGGGTCTGGGAAATCTAAGACCAAGGTACTAGCCAATCTGGTGTCTGGGAAAAACTTTTGTTCTAGTTCAAAGAAGGCTGCCCTTTCTCTATAACCTCAGTTGGGGAAGGAGCAAGGGAGTTCAGGGGGCTGCTTTAGAAGGGTGCTAAACCCATTAATGAGGGCTGCTCTCTCATGACTTAATTAGTTCCCAAAAGCCCCACCTTCAAAAACCCTCACATTGGCGGTTAGCATTTCAACATATGAATTTGAGAGGGATGTAAACATTTAGTCTGTAGCAGTAAATGTACAATATAAAGTAAATAGCTTTATTGTTGTGTTGCATTATATTAATATATATTTTCTAGTATTAAATCTTTGTATGCCAAATCACTGGGGTGGGTGATTTCTTAGTAAGTGTAGAATTCAGTTCCTTTTTCTTTCAGTTAAGAATATTTTAACTATGTTTATAAGGGATACTGTTTAGTAATTTTATTCTTTTTGTATTCACTTCATCAAGAGTTAGTAATAGTTATATTTGCTTTGTAAAATGAACTGAAAGGAAGCCACTTTTTATAACTTTATCCATATTTCCTAGTTTGGGGTCCATTTTACAAGATGTTTTAAACAGATGCTTATTAAAAACACCGGTTATAGGGACTTTAATAAAAATTTTTAAAATAATGTTTTACATTTCTTGCAAAAATTGATGCCTGCAACCTATTTACTGTTTTTAAAATTAAATTAAGATTCATTTAAGCAGTACATGCTTATTTTAGTGAAACACGTATTTAATTTTCTAAGATAGTATTTTTTGTCTTTAAAACAATTTCTGCATGTTTTGTTTTTTTTTCACTTTAAATTTTATGTTTTCTCAGTTTTTGTTTTATCACATTTGCTATATTTTTCTGTATCATGGGTTATTTGTTAAAGAATGAACTTGTGTATGTTTATAAATTGTTACTGTTTTTGTTTATAATTTATTGCCTTCTAACTTAATATGTAATTAGCATTCCTTTTAATTTTGCTTGTATGCTTTGCTGTACCATTTTGAAATTCTTGAGTTAAATGCTTAACTATTTTTTATCAAGTTTAAATATTAAATTAAATATGTCCCATCAGTTTAGTCATTTTAATATTCTCACTCATCAGACATTTTTTGGGAACACCATATGCCTTTTCATGCAGTCAGTTTCAAGAAAATGAAAATTACTTTTTATATGTTTATACTCAAAGCTTGGCTAGAGATAAGTCTCCCCTTCCTTAAGTTGGGGAGAGAGTGATTTCTTCCAGGCTATAATCAAAAGAGATACAATTATAGTAACTTTTTGTGTTTGTTTGGGTTGTTTCTGTTTGTTTGTTTGTTTGTTTGTTTGAGACGGAGGTTGGATCTTGTTGCCCAGGCTGGAGTGTAGTGGCATAATCTCAGCTCACTGCAACCTCCGCCTCCTGGGTTCAAGCAATTCTAAACATATTTTAGCACAAAACTATTTAAGATTTCAATTTATATCTTTTTATTATCTTCCATATACTCTTTTGATACATTACCCATTATGTTGATTATTAACGTACACTCAAGTCAAGATCTTTTATTATGTGAGGTCATCAGTCAATGATAACAGATATTGATGAATTAGTCTCCTCATCAGAAATTGAGCAACATTTTCATTCAAGACGACACATGGGCCTTTAAAGCATATTCAATAATACTGAGTCTCAGTGTTCTCCTGCTATTTTCTGAATGTGCATTTAGACCTTTATACATCTATCTATCTACTGACCCATTTATTAAATTTTCAGCATTTACTTTGTACTCCAAGGACCAGAACCATGTTTGTCTTGTTCACTGGTGTACTCCTATTGCAAGGACCTAGAACATAGTAGGAGCTCATTAAACTCTGAGGTTTCAAAATAAGTGAATAGAGGTTGTAGCAGGAAGAAGTCTAAGATAGCCCCTATGACCTTCATTTCCTCATGTTACCCTGTTGATACCTCACACGGCAAAGGAGTCTTGCACATGTCACTAAGGCTAATAATCCGTCAGCCTTAAGACGGGGGGAGTATCTGGGTAAACCTAACCTAATCACACCAAAACTTCACAATCAGGGAGTTTTCTACAACTGAGAGTAGAATGGGAAGTCAGAGAGTTTCAGAGTCCAAGAAGCATTTATAGCACCCTTATTGACTTTGAAGATGCTTTGCTTCTTCTTTTGAGTTCAGTTTGAGATTATCTTTCTAATAATTGATTAGATTTTATTCTTGTAAAAAAAGAGATAATTTAAAGGAATCTATTTTTAAATACTCTGAGGAGGGTGATACTAGGGGTGCTGGTTGTCCTGTTTTAACTTTGTCTTAATTTCTAATGTAATTAAATTTTGAGTAGGTAATGTGACCTGTGTGGTTTTTATTTTAAAAAATATATTGAGGTTTTATATAATCTATTTTTAAAATATTCAATGGAAACTTGAAAACATACTGTTTCACATATTCTCGTATATATATATTAAAAATCTTTTTTTATTTATTTTTTATTTTTATTTTTTTTTGAGACGGAGTCTCGCTCTGTCGCCCAGGCTGGAGTGCAGTGGCGCCATCTGGGCTCACTGCAAGCTCCGCCTCCTGGGTTCACGCCATTCTCCTGCCTCAGCCTCCCGAATAGCTGGGACTGCAGGCACCCACCACCACGCCCAGCTACTTTTTTGTATTTTTAGTGGAGACAGAGTTTCACCGTGTTAGCCAGGATGGTCTCGATTTCCTGACCTCGTGATCCGCCCGCCTCAGCCTCCCAAAGTGCTGGGATTACAGGCGTGAGCCACTTAGCCCGGCCTAATTATTTGTTTTTTAAAAGACGGTACATAGGAAGAAGTAAATCAGGAAAAGTGGATAGTGATTGGTGGCAGTAGAAGTGAGTCAGTGTTACAGTTACTATTGCTGCTTAAGAAACTAACCCAAATGGCCTGGGCGCCGTGGCTCACGCCTGTAATCCCAGCAGTTTGGGAGGCTGAGACGGGCGGATCATGAGTTCAGGAGATCGAGACCATCCTGCCTAATACGGTGAAACTCTGTCTCTACTAAAAATACAAAAGTTAGCCTGGCCTGGTGGTGGTGGGCGCCTTAAGTCCCAGCTACTCGGGAGGCTGAGGCAGGAGAATGGCGTGAACCCGGGAGGCGGAGCTTGCTGTGAGCCGAGATCGCGCCACTGCAGTCCAGCTTGGGCCACAGAGGGAGACTCCGTCTCAAAAAAAAAAAATTTAAAAAAAGAAAAAGAAAAAAGAAACTACCCTAAATTTAATAAGGTAAAACAACGACCACTTCATTATATCTCATGGATCCTATAGGTGAGAAATTCCAGCAGGATTCATCTGAGTGATTCTTCCTCTCTCACATCATTAACTAGGGTGACTCAGTGCTAGTCGGCTGGCAAACAAGTCAGTCTGGAAGGTGCAAGGTGCTTTTTTTCTGTCTTATAAATTGGTGGAGTTGTCTGGAAGGCAAGGCTCAGATGGGAAGGACTCTTAGTTATAGTGCCTGCACAGGGTAAACTTTTTTTTTTTCTTTTTTTTTTGAGACGGAGTCTCACTGTCCCCCAGGCTGGAGTGGTGTGGCCCGATCTCGGCTAACTGCAAGCTCCGCCTCCCGGGTTCACGCCATTCTCCTGCCTCAGCCTCCCGAGTAGCTGGGACTACAGGCGCCCACCACCAGGCCCAGCTATTTTTTTGTATTTTTAGTAGAGACGGGGTTTCACCGTGTTAGCCAGGATGGTCTCGATCTCCTGACCTCGTGATCCACCCGCCTCGGCCTCCCAAAGTGCTGGGATTACAGGCGTGAGCCACAGCTCCCGGCCAAGAAGGCTCTCTTAAAAGGAATCACTTCTTGTTTTCTTACAAGTTATAACCTCACTACCCTAGAGTCACATTTTTTAATAACTTACGAATTTTCTGAATCTTCAAATACCCTATGGCCCCATGGTAAAACATCAGATGACATTTGCCTCTCATTTAAACCATTTTTCTTTTCCTCTTTCTTCTTTATTTTTCTTATACTCTCTCCTCATTTCTTTTTCTCTCTTCCTATTTCTCTTTTTCTCTCTGCTTCTTCCTACCTCCCCTCGTGACTTTGTCTCCTCATCCCATCACCGTGCTACTTAGATGCCACATCAATTTGACTAGCCTCAAATTTACAATGAATACTTTTTAAATTCATGCTTCTGAAACTTTTAAAGGATGAAGAGGTATAAATGTCTCAAATAATAATTTGCTTGATGGCTGAAATGAATGGCATTTCTCAAAAAGGCCAAGGGACTGAATACAGAAATTTAAACAATAATTTTCCGTTAGTGATACGGTTTGGATGTTTTGTCCCCTCCAAATCTCATGTTGAAATGCGACCTCCAGTGTTGGAGGTGGGCCTAGTAATAGGTGTTTGTTTCCCAAGGGTGGATCCCCATGAATGGTTTTGTGCTGTCCTCCTGGTAATGAGTGAGTTCTTGCTCTATGAATTCACGAGAGATCTTGTTGTTTAAAAGAGCCTGGCATCTCCCTTGCTCCCTCTCTCCCCATGTAATATGCCAGCTCCCCCTTTGCCTTAAGCCATGATTGTCAGCTTCCCGGGCCTCAGCAGAAGCTGAGCAGATACTGGTGGCCTGTTTGTACAGCCTGCAAACCATCAGCCCAAATACTCCTCTTTTCTTTATAAATTACCCAGTCTCAGGTATTCCTTTATAGCATTGAGATGGACTAACATAGTCAGTTTTGACAACATGAACCTTTCATATTAAAATTTAATTTCTAAATTCACTCATTTACTGTGATTGGTTTATAGCTTTTCTGTAATAATGAATTTTACGTGTGACTTTCAATGTGCTTTAAAACTTGATTCACTTTTTAGCTCTATTTTTGGAAACTACCAGCTTCCACTGTTGAGGCAAAAGTGTCATCATTGAGGCTCTCCTGCTGAGGTAGCTGTTGTCTGATTTCCCTTCAGTTCTACTGCTGTCCCAGTGGAAAAAGGGAATCTTCACCACTTACATGACATGTTTGCCTGAACTCTAATCTTCCACACTTGCTGTAGAAAAGAGTAAAGTGGCAGTTCAGGGCAGTTTACCAATTTAGAAACGGTGTCCGCTCAGTATTTTCCTCTGTGTCACTTACTAAAACATATAAAGAAACCATGGACATTAAAAGAAAGAGAGAGGTTTAATGTGATATTTTAATTCTAACAAGGATTTATGGGCACGTGAATGCTCAAAATCACATACTCCCTTAGTGTTTTTCATCTCACACATATCACATCAGACACATATCACACACATCAGGCACATATCACACAGAACTTGCCATAATTAAATTATCAGTTTTTGAAAAATATTATCATTTGCTCTCTTTTTTTCTATATAAATAAATTTTTTTAAAATATGATTTTCAGTTCTGGGATACATGCAAGGAACATGCAGGTTTGTTATATAGGTATACATGTGCCATATAGGTGGTTTCTTATTTGTGCTTTCATCTTATGGCTTTGGCTAGAACTAGATAATAAAAGTATGCATCAATTTAAGAGTTATTTTTAATCATGGTAAGGACATATCTATAACTACTTTGTTAAATTTCATCAGTCATGCATGTTAAATATCATTAAATAAATATCAAAAATGGGCTGCTGTACCAGAATACCATAGACTTGGTGGCTTATAAACAACAGAAAGGAATTTCTCACAGTTCTGGGGTCTGGGAAATCTAAGACCAAGGTACTAGCCAATCTGGTGTCTGGGAAAAACTTTTGTTCTAGTTCAAAGAAGGCTGCCCTTTCTCTATAACCTCAGTTGGGGAAGGAGCAAGGGAGTTCAGGGGGCTGCTTTAGAAGGGTGCTAAACCCATTAATGAGGGCTGCTCTCTCATGACTTAATTAGTTCCCAAAAGCCCCACCTTCAAAAACCCTCACATTGGCGGTTAGCATTTCAACATATGAATTTGAGAGGGATGTAAACATTTAGTCTGTAGCAGTAAATGTACAATATAAAGTAAATAGCTTTATTGTTGTGTTGCATTATATTAATATATATTTTCTAGTATTAAATCTTTGTATGCCAAATCACTGGGGTGGGTGATTTCTTAGTAAGTGTAGAATTCAGTTCCTTTTTCTTTCAGTTAAGAATATTTTAACTATGTTTATAAGGGATACTGTTTAGTAATTTTATTCTTTTTGTATTCACTTCATCAAGAGTTAGTAATAGTTATATTTGCTTTGTAAAATGAACTGAAAGGAAGCCACTTTTTATAACTTTATCCATATTTCCTAGTTTGGGGTCCATTTTACAAGATGTTTTAAACAGATGCTTATTAAAAACACCGGTTATAGGGACTTTAATAAAAATTTTTAAAATAATGTTTTACATTTCTTGCAAAAATTGATGCCTGCAACCTATTTACTGTTTTTAAAATTAAATTAAGATTCATTTAAGCAGTACATGTTTATTTTAGTGAAACACGTATTTAATTTTCTAAGATAGTATTTTTTGTCTTTAAAACAATTTCTGCATGTTTTGTTTTTTTTTCACTTTAAATTTTATGTTTTCTCAGTTTTTGTTTTATCACATTTGCTATATTTTTCTGTATCATGGGTTATTTGTTAAAGAATGAACTTGTGTATGTTTATAAATTGTTACTGTTTTTGTTTATAATTTATTGCCTTCTAACTTAATATGTAATTAGCATTCCTTTTAATTTTGCTTGTATGCTTTGCTGTACCATTTTGAAATTCTTGAGTTAAATGCTTAACTATTTTTTATCAAGTTTAAATATTAAATTAAATATGTCCCATCAGTTTAGTCATTTTAATATTCTCACTCATCAGACATTTTTTGGGAACACCATATGCCTTTTCATGCAGTCAGTTTCAAGAAAATGAAAATTACTTTTTATATGTTTATACTCAAAGCTTGGCTAGAGATAAGTCTCCCCTTCCTTAAGTTGGGGAGAGAGTGATTTCTTCCAGGCTATAATCAAAAGAGATACAATTATAGTAACTTTTTGTGTTTGTTTGGGTTGTTTCTGTTTGTTTGTTTGTTTGTTTGTTTGAGACGGAGGTTGGATCTTGTTGCCCAGGCTGGAGTGTAGTGGCATAATCTCAGCTCACTGCAACCTCCGCCTCCTGGGTTCAAGCAATTCTAAACATATTTTAGCACAAAACTATTTAAGATTTCAATTTATATCTTTTTATTATCTTCCATATACTCTTTTGATACATTACCCATTATGTTGATTATTAACGTACACTCAAGTCAAGATCTTTTATTATGTGAGGTCATCAGTCAATGATAACAGATATTGATGAATTAGTCTCCTCATCAGAAATTGAGCAACATTTTCATTCAAGACGACACATGGGCCTTTAAAGCATATTCAATAATACTGAGTCTCAGTGTTCTCCTGCTATTTTCTGAATGTGCATTTAGACCTTTATACATCTATCTATCTACTGACCCATTTATTAAATTTTCAGCATTTACTTTGTACTCCAAGGACCAGAACCATGTTTGTCTTGTTCACTGCTGTACTCCTATTGCAAGGACCTAGAACATAGTAGGAGCTCATTAAACTCTGAGGTTTCAAAATAAGTGAATAGAGGTTGTAGCAGGAAGAAGTCTAAGATAGCCCCTATGACCTTCATTTCCTCATGTTACCCTGTTGATACCTCACACGGCAAAGGAGTCTTGCACATGTCACTAAGGCTAATAATCCGTCAGCCTTAAGACGGGGGGAGTATCTGGGTAAACCTAACCTAATCACACCAAAACTTCACAATCAGGGAGTTTTCTACAACTGAGAGTAGAATGGGAAGTCAGAGAGTTTCAGAGTCCAAGAAGCATTTATAGCACCCTTATTGACTTTGAAGATGCTTTGCTTCTTCTTTTGAGTTCAGTTTGAGATTATCTTTCTAATAATTGATTAGATTTTATTCTTGTAAAAAAAGAGATAATTTAAAGGAATCTATTTTTAAATACTCTGAGGAGGGTGATACTAGGGGTGCTGGTTGTCCTGTTTTAACTTTGTCTTAATTTCTAATGTAATTAAATTTTGAGTAGGTAATGTGACCTGTGTGGTTTTTATTTTAAAAAATATATTGAGGTTTTATATAATCTATTTTTAAAATATTCAATGGAAACTTGAAAACATACTGTTTCACATATTCTCGTATATATATATTAAAAATCTTTTTTTATTTATTTTTTATTTTTATTTTTTTTTGAGACGGAGTCTCGCTCTGTCGCCCAGGCTGGAGTGCAGTGGCGCCATCTGGGCTCACTGCAAGCTCCGCCTCCTGGGTTCACGCCATTCTCCTGCCTCAGCCTCCCGAGTAGCTGGGACTGCAGGCACCCACCACCACGCCCAGCTAATTTTTTGTATTTTTAGTGGAGACAGAGTTTCACCGTGTTAGCCAGGATGGTCTCGATTTCCTGACCTCGTGATCCGCCCGCCTCAGCCTCCCAAAGTGCTGGGATTACAGGCGTGAGCCACTTAGCCCGGCCTAATTATTTGTTTTTTAAAAGACGGTACATAGGAAGAAGTAAATCAGGAAAAGTGGATAGTGATTGGTGGCAGTAGAAGTGAGTCAGTGTTACAGTTACTATTGCTGCTTAAGAAACTAACCCAAATGGCCTGGGCGCCGTGGCTCACGCCTGTAATCCCAGCAGTTTGGGAGGCTGAGACGGGCGGATCATGAGTTCAGGAGATCGAGACCATCCTGCCTAATACGGTGAAACTCTGTCTCTACTAAAAATACAAAAGTTAGCCTGGCCTGGTGGTGGTGGGCGCCTTAAGTCCCAGCTACTCGGGAGGCTGAGGCAGGAGAATGGCGTGAACCCGGGAGGCGGAGCTTGCTGTGAGCCGAGATCGCGCCACTGCAGTCCAGCTTGGGCCACAGAGGGAGACTCCGTCTCAAAAAAAAAAAATTTAAAAAAAGAAAAAGAAAAAAGAAACTACCCTAAATTTAATAAGGTAAAACAACGACCACTTCATTATATCTCATGGATCCTATAGGTGAGAAATTCCAGCAGGATTCATCTGAGTGATTCTTCCTCTCTCACATCATTAACTAGGGTGACTCAGTGCTAGTCGGCTGGCAAACAAGTCAGTCTGGAAGGTGCAAGGTGCTTTTTTTCTGTCTTATAAATTGGTGGAGTTGTCTGGAAGGCAAGGCTCAGATGGGAAGGACTCTTAGTTATAGTGCCTGCACAGGGTAAACTTTTTTTTTTTCTTTTTTTTTTGAGACGGAGTCTCACTGTCCCCCAGGCTGGAGTGGTGTGGCCCGATCTCGGCTAACTGCAAGCTCCGCCTCCCGGGTTCACGCCATTCTCCTGCCTCAGCCTCCCGAGTAGCTGGGACTACAGGCGCCCACCACCAGGCCCAGCTATTTTTTTGTATTTTTAGTAGAGACGGGGTTTCACCGTGTTAGCCAGGATGGTCTCGATCTCCTGACCTCGTGATCCACCCGCCTCGGCCTCCCAAAGTGCTGGGATTACAGGCGTGAGCCACAGCTCCCGGCCAAGAAGGCTCTCTTAAAAGGAATCACTTCTTGTTTTCTTACAAGTTATAACCTCACTACCCTAGAGTCACATTTTTTAATAACTTACGAATTTTCTGAATCTTCAAATACCCTATGGCCCCATGGTAAAACATCAGATGACATTTGCCTCTCATTTAAACCATTTTTCTTTTCCTCTTTCTTCTTTATTTTTCTTATACTCTCTCCTCATTTCTTTTTCTCTCTTCCTATTTCTCTTTTTCTCTCTGCTTCTTCCTACCTTCCCTCGTGACTTTGTCTCCTCATCCCATCACCGTGCTACTTAGATGCCACATCAATTTGACTAGCCTCAAATTTACAATGAATACTTTTTAAATTCATGCTTCTGAAACTTTTAAAGGATGAAGAGGTATAAATGTCTCAAATAATAATTTGCTTGATGGCTGAAATGAATGGCATTTCTCAAAAAGGCCAAGGGACTGAATACAGAAATTTAAACAATAATTTTCCGTTAGTGATACGGTTTGGATGTTTTGTCCCCTCCAAATCTCATGTTGAAATGCGACCTCCAGTGTTGGAGGTGGGCCTAGTAATAGGTGTTTGTTTCCCAAGGGTGGATCCCCATGAATGGTTTTGTGCTGTCCTCCTGGTAATGAGTGAGTTCTTGCTCTATGAATTCACGAGAGATCTTGTTGTTTAAAAGAGCCTGGCATCTCCCTTGCTCCCTCTCTCCCCATGTAATATGCCAGCTCCCCCTTTGCCTTAAGCCATGATTGTCAGCTTCCCGGGCCTCAGCAGAAGCTGAGCAGATACTGGTGGCCTGTTTGTACAGCCTGCAAACCATCAGCCCAAATACTCCTCTTTTCTTTATAAATTACCCAGTCTCAGGTATTCCTTTATAGCATTGAGATGGACTAACATAGTCAGTTTTGACAACATGAACCTTTCATATTAAAATTTAATTTCTAAATTCACTCATTTACTGTGATTGGTTTATAGCTTTTCTGTAATAATGAATTTTACGTGTGACTTTCAATGTGCTTTAAAACTTGATTCACTTTTTAGCTCTATTTTTGGAAACTACCAGCTTCCACTGTTGAGGCAAAAGTGTCATCATTGAGGCTCTCCTGCTGAGGTAGCTGTTGTCTGATTTCCCTTCAGTTCTACTGCTGTCCCAGTGGAAAAAGGGAATCTTCACCACTTACATGACATGTTTGCCTGAACTCTAATCTTCCACACTTGCTGTAGAAAAGAGTAAAGTGGCAGTTCAGGGCAGTTTACCAATTTAGAAACGGTGTCCGCTCAGTATTTTCCTCTGTGTCACTTACTAAAACATATAAAGAAACCATGGACATTAAAAGAAAGAGAGAGGTTTAATGTGATATTTTAATTCTAACAAGGATTTATGGGCACGTGAATGCTCAAAATCACATACTCCCTTAGTGTTTTTCATCTCACACATATCACATCAGACACATATCACACACATCAGGCACATATCACACAGAACTTGCCATAATTAAATTATCAGTTTTTGAAAAATATTATCATTTGCTCTCTTTTTTTCTATATAAATAAATTTTTTTAAAATATGATTTTCAGTTCTGGGATACATGCAAGGAACATGCAGGTTTGTTATATAGGTATACATGTGCCATATAGGTGGTTTCTTATTTGTGCTTTCATCTTATGGCTTTGGCTAGAACTAGATAATAAAAGTATGCATCAATTTAAGAGTTATTTTTAATCATGGTAAGGACATATCTATAACTACTTTGTTAAATTTCATCAGTCATGCATGTTAAATATCATTAAATAAATATCAAAAATGGGCTGCTGTACCAGAATACCATAGACTTGGTGGCTTATAAACAACAGAAAGGAATTTCTCACAGTTCTGGGGTCTGGGAAATCTAAGACCAAGGTACTAGCCAATCTGGTGTCTGGGAAAAACTTTTGTTCTAGTTCAAAGAAGGCTGCCCTTTCTCTATAACCTCAGTTGGGGAAGGAGCAAGGGAGTTCAGGGGGCTGCTTTAGAAGGGTGCTAAACCCATTAATGAGGGCTGCTCTCTCATGACTTAATTAGTTCCCAAAAGCCCCACCTTCAAAAACCCTCACATTGGCGGTTAGCATTTCAACATATGAATTTGAGAGGGATGTAAACATTTAGTCTGTAGCAGTAAATGTACAATATAAAGTAAATAGCTTTATTGTTGTGTTGCATTATATTAATATATATTTTCTAGTATTAAATCTTTGTATGCCAAATCACTGGGGTGGGTGATTTCTTAGTAAGTGTAGAATTCAGTTCCTTTTTCTTTCAGTTAAGAATATTTTAACTATGTTTATAAGGGATACTGTTTAGTAATTTTATTCTTTTTGTATTCACTTCATCAAGAGTTAGTAATAGTTATATTTGCTTTGTAAAATGAACTGAAAGGAAGCCACTTTTTATAACTTTATCCATATTTCCTAGTTTGGGGTCCATTTTACAAGATGTTTTAAACAGATGCTTATTAAAAACACCGGTTATAGGGACTTTAATAAAAATTTTTAAAATAATGTTTTACATTTCTTGCAAAAATTGATGCCTGCAACCTATTTACTGTTTTTAAAATTAAATTAAGATTCATTTAAGCAGTACATGTTTATTTTAGTGAAACACGTATTTAATTTTCTAAGATAGTATTTTTTGTCTTTAAAACAATTTCTGCATGTTTTGTTTTTTTTTCACTTTAAATTTTATGTTTTCTCAGTTTTTGTTTTATCACATTTGCTATATTTTTCTGTATCATGGGTTATTTGTTAAAGAATGAACTTGTGTATGTTTATAAATTGTTACTGTTTTTGTTTATAATTTATTGCCTTCTAACTTAATATGTAATTAGCATTCCTTTTAATTTTGCTTGTATGCTTTGCTGTACCATTTTGAAATTCTTGAGTTAAATGCTTAACTATTTTTTATCAAGTTTAAATATTAAATTAAATATGTCCCATCAGTTTAGTCATTTTAATATTCTCACTCATCAGACATTTTTTGGGAACACCATATGCCTTTTCATGCAGTCAGTTTCAAGAAAATGAAAATTACTTTTTATATGTTTATACTCAAAGCTTGGCTAGAGATAAGTCTCCCCTTCCTTAAGTTGGGGAGAGAGTGATTTCTTCCAGGCTATAATCAAAAGAGATACAATTATAGTAACTTTTTGTGTTTGTTTGGGTTGTTTCTGTTTGTTTGTTTGTTTGTTTGTTTGAGACGGAGGTTGGATCTTGTTGCCCAGGCTGGAGTGTAGTGGCATAATCTCAGCTCACTGCAACCTCCGCCTCCTGGGTTCAAGCAATTCTAAACATATTTTAGCACAAAACTATTTAAGATTTCAATTTATATCTTTTTATTATCTTCCATATACTCTTTTGATACATTACCCATTATGTTGATTATTAACGTACACTCAAGTCAAGATCTTTTATTATGTGAGGTCATCAGTCAATGATAACAGATATTGATGAATTAGTCTCCTCATCAGAAATTGAGCAACATTTTCATTCAAGACGACACATGGGCCTTTAAAGCATATTCAATAATACTGAGTCTCAGTGTTCTCCTGCTATTTTCTGAATGTGCATTTAGACCTTTATACATCTATCTATCTACTGACCCATTTATTAAATTTTCAGCATTTACTTTGTACTCCAAGGACCAGAACCATGTTTGTCTTGTTCACTGGTGTACTCCTATTGCAAGGACCTAGAACATAGTAGGAGCTCATTAAACTCTGAGGTTTCAAAATAAGTGAATAGAGGTTGTAGCAGGAAGAAGTCTAAGATAGCCCCTATGACCTTCATTTCCTCATGTTACCCTGTTGATACCTCACACGGCAAAGGAGTCTTGCACATGTCACTAAGGCTAATAATCCGTCAGCCTTAAGACGGGGGGAGTATCTGGGTAAACCTAACCTAATCACACCAAAACTTCACAATCAGGGAGTTTTCTACAACTGAGAGTAGAATGGGAAGTCAGAGAGTTTCAGAGTCCAAGAAGCATTTATAGCACCCTTATTGACTTTGAAGATGCTTTGCTTCTTCTTTTGAGTTCAGTTTGAGATTATCTTTCTAATAATTGATTAGATTTTATTCTTGTAAAAAAAGAGATAATTTAAAGGAATCTATTTTTAAATACTCTGAGGAGGGTGATACTAGGGGTGCTGGTTGTCCTGTTTTAACTTTGTCTTAATTTCTAATGTAATTAAATTTTGAGTAGGTAATGTGACCTGTGTGGTTTTTATTTTAAAAAATATATTGAGGTTTTATATAATCTATTTTTAAAATATTCAATGGAAACTTGAAAACATACTGTTTCACATATTCTCGTATATATATATTAAAAATCTTTTTTTATTTATTTTTTATTTTTATTTTTTTTTGAGACGGAGTCTCGCTCTGTCGCCCAGGCTGGAGTGCAGTGGCGCCATCTGGGCTCACTGCAAGCTCCGCCTCCTGGGTTCACGCCATTCTCCTGCCTCAGCCTCCCGAATAGCTGGGACTGCAGGCACCCACCACCACGCCCAGCTACTTTTTTGTATTTTTAGTGGAGACAGAGTTTCACCGTGTTAGCCAGGATGGTCTCGATTTCCTGACCTCGTGATCCGCCCGCCTCAGCCTCCCAAAGTGCTGGGATTACAGGCGTGAGCCACTTAGCCCGGCCTAATTATTTGTTTTTTAAAAGACGGTACATAGGAAGAAGTAAATCAGGAAAAGTGGATAGTGATTGGTGGCAGTAGAAGTGAGTCAGTGTTACAGTTACTATTGCTGCTTAAGAAACTAACCCAAATGGCCTGGGCGCCGTGGCTCACGCCTGTAATCCCAGCAGTTTGGGAGGCTGAGACGGGCGGATCATGAGTTCAGGAGATCGAGACCATCCTGCCTAATACGGTGAAACTCTGTCTCTACTAAAAATACAAAAGTTAGCCTGGCCTGGTGGTGGTGGGCGCCTTAAGTCCCAGCTACTCGGGAGGCTGAGGCAGGAGAATGGCGTGAACCCGGGAGGCGGAGCTTGCTGTGAGCCGAGATCGCGCCACTGCAGTCCAGCTTGGGCCACAGAGGGAGACTCCGTCTCAAAAAAAAAAAATTTAAAAAAAGAAAAAGAAAAAAGAAACTACCCTAAATTTAATAAGGTAAAACAACGACCACTTCATTATATCTCATGGATCCTATAGGTGAGAAATTCCAGCAGGATTCATCTGAGTGATTCTTCCTCTCTCACATCATTAACTAGGGTGACTCAGTGCTAGTCGGCTGGCAAACAAGTCAGTCTGGAAGGTGCAAGGTGCTTTTTTTCTGTCTTATAAATTGGTGGAGTTGTCTGGAAGGCAAGGCTCAGATGGGAAGGACTCTTAGTTATAGTGCCTGCACAGGGTAAACTTTTTTTTTTTCTTTTTTTTTTGAGACGGAGTCTCACTGTCCCCCAGGCTGGAGTGGTGTGGCCCGATCTCGGCTAACTGCAAGCTCCGCCTCCCGGGTTCACGCCATTCTCCTGCCTCAGCCTCCCGAGTAGCTGGGACTACAGGCGCCCACCACCAGGCCCGGCTATTTTTTTGTATTTTTAGTAGAGACGGGGTTTCACCGTGTTAGCCAGGATGGTCTCGATCTCCTGACCTCGTGATCCACCCGCCTCGGCCTCCCAAAGTGCTGGGATTACAGGCGTGAGCCACAGCTCCCGGCCAAGAAGGCTCTCTTAAAAGGAATCACTTCTTGTTTTCTTACAAGTTATAACCTCACTACCCTAGAGTCACATTTTTTAATAACTTACGAATTTTCTGAATCTTCAAATACCCTATGGCCCCATGGTAAAACATCAGATGACATTTGCCTCTCATTTAAACCATTTTTCTTTTCCTCTTTCTTCTTTATTTTTCTTATACTCTCTCCTCATTTCTTTTTCTCTCTTCCTATTTCTCTTTTTCTCTCTGCTTCTTCCTACCTTCCCTCGTGACTTTGTCTCCTCATCCCATCACCGTGCTACTTAGATGCCACATCAATTTGACTAGCCTCAAATTTACAATGAATACTTTTTAAATTCATGCTTCTGAAACTTTTAAAGGATGAAGAGGTATAAATGTCTCAAATAATAATTTGCTTGATGGCTGAAATGAATGGCATTTCTCAAAAAGGCCAAGGGACTGAATACAGAAATTTAAACAATAATTTTCCGTTAGTGATACGGTTTGGATGTTTTGTCCCCTCCAAATCTCATGTTGAAATGCGACCTCCAGTGTTGGAGGTGGGCCTAGTAATAGGTGTTTGTTTCCCAAGGGTGGATCCCCATGAATGGTTTTGTGCTGTCCTCCTGGTAATGAGTGAGTTCTTGCTCTATGAATTCACGAGAGATCTTGTTGTTTAAAAGAGCCTGGCATCTCCCTTGCTCCCTCTCTCCCCATGTAATATGCCAGCTCCCCCTTTGCCTTAAGCCATGATTGTCAGCTTCCCGGGCCTCAGCAGAAGCTGAGCAGATACTGGTGGCCTGTTTGTACAGCCTGCAAACCATCAGCCCAAATACTCCTCTTTTCTTTATAAATTACCCAGTCTCAGGTATTCCTTTATAGCATTGAGATGGACTAACATAGTCAGTTTTGACAACATGAACCTTTCATATTAAAATTTAATTTCTAAATTCACTCATTTACTGTGATTGGTTTATAGCTTTTCTGTAATAATGAATTTTACGTGTGACTTTCAATGTGCTTTAAAACTTGATTCACTTTTTAGCTCTATTTTTGGAAACTACCAGCTTCCACTGTTGAGGCAAAAGTGTCATCATTGAGGCTCTCCTGCTGAGGTAGCTGTTGTCTGATTTCCCTTCAGTTCTACTGCTGTCCCAGTGGAAAAAGGGAATCTTCACCACTTACATGACATGTTTGCCTGAACTCTAATCTTCCACACTTGCTGTAGAAAAGAGTAAAGTGGCAGTTCAGGGCAGTTTACCAATTTAGAAACGGTGTCCGCTCAGTATTTTCCTCTGTGTCACTTACTAAAACATATAAAGAAACCATGGACATTAAAAGAAAGAGAGAGGTTTAATGTGATATTTTAATTCTAACAAGGATTTATGGGCACGTGAATGCTCAAAATCACATACTCCCTTAGTGTTTTTCATCTCACACATATCACATCAGACACATATCACACACATCAGGCACATATCACACAGAACTTGCCATAATTAAATTATCAGTTTTTGAAAAATATTATCATTTGCTCTCTTTTTTTCTATATAAATAAATTTTTTTAAAATATGATTTTCAGTTCTGGGATACATGCAAGGAACATGCAGGTTTGTTATATAGGTATACATGTGCCATATAGGTGGTTTCTTATTTGTGCTTTCATCTTATGGCTTTGGCTAGAACTAGATAATAAAAGTATGCATCAATTTAAGAGTTATTTTTAATCATGGTAAGGACATATCTATAACTACTTTGTTAAATTTCATCAGTCATGCATGTTAAATATCATTAAATAAATATCAAAAATGGGCTGCTGTACCAGAATACCATAGACTTGGTGGCTTATAAACAACAGAAAGGAATTTCTCACAGTTCTGGGGTCTGGGAAATCTAAGACCAAGGTACTAGCCAATCTGGTGTCTGGGAAAAACTTTTGTTCTAGTTCAAAGAAGGCTGCCCTTTCTCTATAACCTCAGTTGGGGAAGGAGCAAGGGAGTTCAGGGGGCTGCTTTAGAAGGGTGCTAAACCCATTAATGAGGGCTGCTCTCTCATGACTTAATTAGTTCCCAAAAGCCCCACCTTCAAAAACCCTCACATTGGCGGTTAGCATTTCAACATATGAATTTGAGAGGGATGTAAACATTTAGTCTGTAGCAGTAAATGTACAATATAAAGTAAATAGCTTTATTGTTGTGTTGCATTATATTAATATATATTTTCTAGTATTAAATCTTTGTATGCCAAATCACTGGGGTGGGTGATTTCTTAGTAAGTGTAGAATTCAGTTCCTTTTTCTTTCAGTTAAGAATATTTTAACTATGTTTATAAGGGATACTGTTTAGTAATTTTATTCTTTTTGTATTCACTTCATCAAGAGTTAGTAATAGTTATATTTGCTTTGTAAAATGAACTGAAAGGAAGCCACTTTTTATAACTTTATCCATATTTCCTAGTTTGGGGTCCATTTTACAAGATGTTTTAAACAGATGCTTATTAAAAACACCGGTTATAGGGACTTTAATAAAAATTTTTAAAATAATGTTTTACATTTCTTGCAAAAATTGATGCCTGCAACCTATTTACTGTTTTTAAAATTAAATTAAGATTCATTTAAGCAGTACATGTTTATTTTAGTGAAACACGTATTTAATTTTCTAAGATAGTATTTTTTGTCTTTAAAACAATTTCTGCATGTTTTGTTTTTTTTTCACTTTAAATTTTATGTTTTCTCAGTTTTTGTTTTATCACATTTGCTATATTTTTCTGTATCATGGGTTATTTGTTAAAGAATGAACTTGTGTATGTTTATAAATTGTTACTGTTTTTGTTTATAATTTATTGCCTTCTAACTTAATATGTAATTAGCATTCCTTTTAATTTTGCTTGTATGCTTTGCTGTACCATTTTGAAATTCTTGAGTTAAATGCTTAACTATTTTTTATCAAGTTTAAATATTAAATTAAATATGTCCCATCAGTTTAGTCATTTTAATATTCTCACTCATCAGACATTTTTTGGGAACACCATATGCCTTTTCATGCAGTCAGTTTCAAGAAAATGAAAATTACTTTTTATATGTTTATACTCAAAGCTTGGCTAGAGATAAGTCTCCCCTTCCTTAAGTTGGGGAGAGAGTGATTTCTTCCAGGCTATAATCAAAAGAGATACAATTATAGTAACTTTTTGTGTTTGTTTGGGTTGTTTCTGTTTGTTTGTTTGTTTGTTTGTTTGAGACGGAGGTTGGATCTTGTTGCCCAGGCTGGAGTGTAGTGGCATAATCTCAGCTCACTGCAACCTCCGCCTCCTGGGTTCAAGCAATTCTAAACATATTTTAGCACAAAACTATTTAAGATTTCAATTTATATCTTTTTATTATCTTCCATATACTCTTTTGATACATTACCCATTATGTTGATTATTAACGTACACTCAAGTCAAGATCTTTTATTATGTGAGGTCATCAGTCAATGATAACAGATATTGATGAATTAGTCTCCTCATCAGAAATTGAGCAACATTTTCATTCAAGACGACACATGGGCCTTTAAAGCATATTCAATAATACTGAGTCTCAGTGTTCTCCTGCTATTTTCTGAATGTGCATTTAGACCTTTATACATCTATCTATCTACTGACCCATTTATTAAATTTTCAGCATTTACTTTGTACTCCAAGGACCAGAACCATGTTTGTCTTGTTCACTGCTGTACTCCTATTGCAAGGACCTAGAACATAGTAGGAGCTCATTAAACTCTGAGGTTTCAAAATAAGTGAATAGAGGTTGTAGCAGGAAGAAGTCTAAGATAGCCCCTATGACCTTCATTTCCTCATGTTACCCTGTTGATACCTCACACGGCAAAGGAGTCTTGCACATGTCACTAAGGCTAATAATCCGTCAGCCTTAAGACGGGGGGAGTATCTGGGTAAACCTAACCTAATCACACCAAAACTTCACAATCAGGGAGTTTTCTACAACTGAGAGTAGAATGGGAAGTCAGAGAGTTTCAGAGTCCAAGAAGCATTTATAGCACCCTTATTGACTTTGAAGATGCTTTGCTTCTTCTTTTGAGTTCAGTTTGAGATTATCTTTCTAATAATTGATTAGATTTTATTCTTGTAAAAAAAGAGATAATTTAAAGGAATCTATTTTTAAATACTCTGAGGAGGGTGATACTAGGGGTGCTGGTTGTCCTGTTTTAACTTTGTCTTAATTTCTAATGTAATTAAATTTTGAGTAGGTAATGTGACCTGTGTGGTTTTTATTTTAAAAAATATATTGAGGTTTTATATAATCTATTTTTAAAATATTCAATGGAAACTTGAAAACATACTGTTTCACATATTCTCGTATATATATATTAAAAATCTTTTTTTATTTATTTTTTATTTTTATTTTTTTTTGAGACGGAGTCTCGCTCTGTCGCCCAGGCTGGAGTGCAGTGGCGCCATCTGGGCTCACTGCAAGCTCCGCCTCCTGGGTTCACGCCATTCTCCTGCCTCAGCCTCCCGAATAGCTGGGACTGCAGGCACCCACCACCACGCCCAGCTACTTTTTTGTATTTTTAGTGGAGACAGAGTTTCACCGTGTTAGCCAGGATGGTCTCGATTTCCTGACCTCGTGATCCGCCCGCCTCAGCCTCCCAAAGTGCTGGGATTACAGGCGTGAGCCACTTAGCCCGGCCTAATTATTTGTTTTTTAAAAGACGGTACATAGGAAGAAGTAAATCAGGAAAAGTGGATAGTGATTGGTGGCAGTAGAAGTGAGTCAGTGTTACAGTTACTATTGCTGCTTAAGAAACTAACCCAAATGGCCTGGGCGCCGTGGCTCACGCCTGTAATCCCAGCAGTTTGGGAGGCTGAGACGGGCGGATCATGAGTTCAGGAGATCGAGACCATCCTGCCTAATACGGTGAAACTCTGTCTCTACTAAAAATACAAAAGTTAGCCTGGCCTGGTGGTGGTGGGCGCCTTAAGTCCCAGCTACTCGGGAGGCTGAGGCAGGAGAATGGCGTGAACCCGGGAGGCGGAGCTTGCTGTGAGCCGAGATCGCGCCACTGCAGTCCAGCTTGGGCCACAGAGGGAGACTCCGTCTCAAAAAAAAAAAATTTAAAAAAAGAAAAAGAAAAAAGAAACTACCCTAAATTTAATAAGGTAAAACAACGACCACTTCATTATATCTCATGGATCCTATAGGTGAGAAATTCCAGCAGGATTCATCTGAGTGATTCTTCCTCTCTCACATCATTAACTAGGGTGACTCAGTGCTAGTCGGCTGGCAAACAAGTCAGTCTGGAAGGTGCAAGGTGCTTTTTTTCTGTCTTATAAATTGGTGGAGTTGTCTGGAAGGCAAGGCTCAGATGGGAAGGACTCTTAGTTATAGTGCCTGCACAGGGTAAACTTTTTTTTTTTCTTTTTTTTTTGAGACGGAGTCTCACTGTCCCCCAGGCTGGAGTGGTGTGGCCCGATCTCGGCTAACTGCAAGCTCCGCCTCCCGGGTTCACGCCATTCTCCTGCCTCAGCCTCCCGAGTAGCTGGGACTACAGGCGCCCACCACCAGGCCCGGCTATTTTTTTGTATTTTTAGTAGAGACGGGGTTTCACCGTGTTAGCCAGGATGGTCTCGATCTCCTGACCTCGTGATCCACCCGCCTCGGCCTCCCAAAGTGCTGGGATTACAGGCGTGAGCCACAGCTCCCGGCCAAGAAGGCTCTCTTAAAAGGAATCACTTCTTGTTTTCTTACAAGTTATAACCTCACTACCCTAGAGTCACATTTTTTAATAACTTACGAATTTTCTGAATCTTCAAATACCCTATGGCCCCATGGTAAAACATCAGATGACATTTGCCTCTCATTTAAACCATTTTTCTTTTCCTCTTTCTTCTTTATTTTTCTTATACTCTCTCCTCATTTCTTTTTCTCTCTTCCTATTTCTCTTTTTCTCTCTGCTTCTTCCTACCTTCCCTCGTGACTTTGTCTCCTCATCCCATCACCGTGCTACTTAGATGCCACATCAATTTGACTAGCCTCAAATTTACAATGAATACTTTTTAAATTCATGCTTCTGAAACTTTTAAAGGATGAAGAGGTATAAATGTCTCAAATAATAATTTGCTTGATGGCTGAAATGAATGGCATTTCTCAAAAAGGCCAAGGGACTGAATACAGAAATTTAAACAATAATTTTCCGTTAGTGATACGGTTTGGATGTTTTGTCCCCTCCAAATCTCATGTTGAAATGCGACCTCCAGTGTTGGAGGTGGGCCTAGTAATAGGTGTTTGTTTCCCAAGGGTGGATCCCCATGAATGGTTTTGTGCTGTCCTCCTGGTAATGAGTGAGTTCTTGCTCTATGAATTCACGAGAGATCTTGTTGTTTAAAAGAGCCTGGCATCTCCCTTGCTCCCTCTCTCCCCATGTAATATGCCAGCTCCCCCTTTGCCTTAAGCCATGATTGTCAGCTTCCCGGGCCTCAGCAGAAGCTGAGCAGATACTGGTGGCCTGTTTGTACAGCCTGCAAACCATCAGCCCAAATACTCCTCTTTTCTTTATAAATTACCCAGTCTCAGGTATTCCTTTATAGCATTGAGATGGACTAACATAGTCAGTTTTGACAACATGAACCTTTCATATTAAAATTTAATTTCTAAATTCACTCATTTACTGTGATTGGTTTATAGCTTTTCTGTAATAATGAATTTTACGTGTGACTTTCAATGTGCTTTAAAACTTGATTCACTTTTTAGCTCTATTTTTGGAAACTACCAGCTTCCACTGTTGAGGCAAAAGTGTCATCATTGAGGCTCTCCTGCTGAGGTAGCTGTTGTCTGATTTCCCTTCAGTTCTACTGCTGTCCCAGTGGAAAAAGGGAATCTTCACCACTTACATGACATGTTTGCCTGAACTCTAATCTTCCACACTTGCTGTAGAAAAGAGTAAAGTGGCAGTTCAGGGCAGTTTACCAATTTAGAAACGGTGTCCGCTCAGTATTTTCCTCTGTGTCACTTACTAAAACATATAAAGAAACCATGGACATTAAAAGAAAGAGAGAGGTTTAATGTGATATTTTAATTCTAACAAGGATTTATGGGCACGTGAATGCTCAAAATCACATACTCCCTTAGTGTTTTTCATCTCACACATATCACATCAGACACATATCACACACATCAGGCACATATCACACAGAACTTGCCATAATTAAATTATCAGTTTTTGAAAAATATTATCATTTGCTCTCTTTTTTTCTATATAAATAAATTTTTTTAAAATATGATTTTCAGTTCTGGGATACATGCAAGGAACATGCAGGTTTGTTATATAGGTATACATGTGCCATATAGGTGGTTTCTTATTTGTGCTTTCATCTTATGGCTTTGGCTAGAACTAGATAATAAAAGTATGCATCAATTTAAGAGTTATTTTTAATCATGGTAAGGACATATCTATAACTACTTTGTTAAATTTCATCAGTCATGCATGTTAAATATCATTAAATAAATATCAAAAATGGGCTGCTGTACCAGAATACCATAGACTTGGTGGCTTATAAACAACAGAAAGGAATTTCTCACAGTTCTGGGGTCTGGGAAATCTAAGACCAAGGTACTAGCCAATCTGGTGTCTGGGAAAAACTTTTGTTCTAGTTCAAAGAAGGCTGCCCTTTCTCTATAACCTCAGTTGGGGAAGGAGCAAGGGAGTTCAGGGGGCTGCTTTAGAAGGGTGCTAAACCCATTAATGAGGGCTGCTCTCTCATGACTTAATTAGTTCCCAAAAGCCCCACCTTCAAAAACCCTCACATTGGCGGTTAGCATTTCAACATATGAATTTGAGAGGGATGTAAACATTTAGTCTGTAGCAGTAAATGTACAATATAAAGTAAATAGCTTTATTGTTGTGTTGCATTATATTAATATATATTTTCTAGTATTAAATCTTTGTATGCCAAATCACTGGGGTGGGTGATTTCTTAGTAAGTGTAGAATTCAGTTCCTTTTTCTTTCAGTTAAGAATATTTTAACTATGTTTATAAGGGATACTGTTTAGTAATTTTATTCTTTTTGTATTCACTTCATCAAGAGTTAGTAATAGTTATATTTGCTTTGTAAAATGAACTGAAAGGAAGCCACTTTTTATAACTTTATCCATATTTCCTAGTTTGGGGTCCATTTTACAAGATGTTTTAAACAGATGCTTATTAAAAACACCGGTTATAGGGACTTTAATAAAAATTTTTAAAATAATGTTTTACATTTCTTGCAAAAATTGATGCCTGCAACCTATTTACTGTTTTTAAAATTAAATTAAGATTCATTTAAGCAGTACATGTTTATTTTAGTGAAACACGTATTTAATTTTCTAAGATAGTATTTTTTGTCTTTAAAACAATTTCTGCATGTTTTGTTTTTTTTTCACTTTAAATTTTATGTTTTCTCAGTTTTTGTTTTATCACATTTGCTATATTTTTCTGTATCATGGGTTATTTGTTAAAGAATGAACTTGTGTATGTTTATAAATTGTTACTGTTTTTGTTTATAATTTATTGCCTTCTAACTTAATATGTAATTAGCATTCCTTTTAATTTTGCTTGTATGCTTTGCTGTACCATTTTGAAATTCTTGAGTTAAATGCTTAACTATTTTTTATCAAGTTTAAATATTAAATTAAATATGTCCCATCAGTTTAGTCATTTTAATATTCTCACTCATCAGACATTTTTTGGGAACACCATATGCCTTTTCATGCAGTCAGTTTCAAGAAAATGAAAATTACTTTTTATATGTTTATACTCAAAGCTTGGCTAGAGATAAGTCTCCCCTTCCTTAAGTTGGGGAGAGAGTGATTTCTTCCAGGCTATAATCAAAAGAGATACAATTATAGTAACTTTTTGTGTTTGTTTGGGTTGTTTCTGTTTGTTTGTTTGTTTGTTTGTTTGAGACGGAGGTTGGATCTTGTTGCCCAGGCTGGAGTGTAGTGGCATAATCTCAGCTCACTGCAACCTCCGCCTCCTGGGTTCAAGCAATTCTAAACATATTTTAGCACAAAACTATTTAAGATTTCAATTTATATCTTTTTATTATCTTCCATATACTCTTTTGATACATTACCCATTATGTTGATTATTAACGTACACTCAAGTCAAGATCTTTTATTATGTGAGGTCATCAGTCAATGATAACAGATATTGATGAATTAGTCTCCTCATCAGAAATTGAGCAACATTTTCATTCAAGACGACACATGGGCCTTTAAAGCATATTCAATAATACTGAGTCTCAGTGTTCTCCTGCTATTTTCTGAATGTGCATTTAGACCTTTATACATCTATCTATCTACTGACCCATTTATTAAATTTTCAGCATTTACTTTGTACTCCAAGGACCAGAACCATGTTTGTCTTGTTCACTGGTGTACTCCTATTGCAAGGACCTAGAACATAGTAGGAGCTCATTAAACTCTGAGGTTTCAAAATAAGTGAATAGAGGTTGTAGCAGGAAGAAGTCTAAGATAGCCCCTATGACCTTCATTTCCTCATGTTACCCTGTTGATACCTCACACGGCAAAGGAGTCTTGCACATGTCACTAAGGCTAATAATCCGTCAGCCTTAAGACGGGGGGAGTATCTGGGTAAACCTAACCTAATCACACCAAAACTTCACAATCAGGGAGTTTTCTACAACTGAGAGTAGAATGGGAAGTCAGAGAGTTTCAGAGTCCAAGAAGCATTTATAGCACCCTTATTGACTTTGAAGATGCTTTGCTTCTTCTTTTGAGTTCAGTTTGAGATTATCTTTCTAATAATTGATTAGATTTTATTCTTGTAAAAAAAGAGATAATTTAAAGGAATCTATTTTTAAATACTCTGAGGAGGGTGATACTAGGGGTGCTGGTTGTCCTGTTTTAACTTTGTCTTAATTTCTAATGTAATTAAATTTTGAGTAGGTAATGTGACCTGTGTGGTTTTTATTTTAAAAAATATATTGAGGTTTTATATAATCTATTTTTAAAATATTCAATGGAAACTTGAAAACATACTGTTTCACATATTCTCGTATATATATATTAAAAATCTTTTTTTATTTATTTTTTATTTTTATTTTTTTTTGAGACGGAGTCTCGCTCTGTCGCCCAGGCTGGAGTGCAGTGGCGCCATCTGGGCTCACTGCAAGCTCCGCCTCCTGGGTTCACGCCATTCTCCTGCCTCAGCCTCCCGAATAGCTGGGACTGCAGGCACCCACCACCACGCCCAGCTACTTTTTTGTATTTTTAGTGGAGACAGAGTTTCACCGTGTTAGCCAGGATGGTCTCGATTTCCTGACCTCGTGATCCGCCCGCCTCAGCCTCCCAAAGTGCTGGGATTACAGGCGTGAGCCACTTAGCCCGGCCTAATTATTTGTTTTTTAAAAGACGGTACATAGGAAGAAGTAAATCAGGAAAAGTGGATAGTGATTGGTGGCAGTAGAAGTGAGTCAGTGTTACAGTTACTATTGCTGCTTAAGAAACTAACCCAAATGGCCTGGGCGCCGTGGCTATCATGTAAGCAAAGCAGTTTGGGAGTGAGACGGGCGGATCATGAGTTCAGGAGATCGAGACCATCCTGCCTAATACGGTGAAGCTCTGTCTCTACTAAAAATACAAAAGTTAGCCTGGCCTGTTGGTGGTGGGTGCCTTAAGTCCCAGCTACTCGGGAGGCTGAGACAGGAGAATGGCGTGAACCCGGGAGGCGGAGCTTGCTGTGATCCGAGATCGCGCCACTGCAGTCCAGCTTGGGCCACAGAGGGAGACTCCGTCTCAAAAAAAAAAAATTTAAAAAAAGAAAAAGAAAAAAGAAACTACCCTAAATTTAATAAGGTAAAACAACGACCACTTCATTATATCTCATGGATCCTATAGGTGAGAAATTCCAGCAGGATTCATCTGAGTGATTCTTCCTCTCTCACATCATTAACTAGGGTGACTCAGTGCTAGTCGGCTGGCAAACAAGTCAGTCTGGAAGGTGCAAGGTGCTTTTTTTCTGTCTTATAAATTGGTGGAGTTGTCTGGAAGGCAAGGCTCAGATGGGAAGGACTCTTAGTTATAGTGCCTGCACAGGGTAAACTTTTTTTTTTTCTTTTTTTTTTGAGACGGAGTCTCACTGTCCCCCAGGCTGGAGTGGTGTGGCCCGATCTCGGCTAACTGCAAGCTCCGCCTCCCGGGTTCACGCCATTCTCCTGCCTCAGCCTCCCGAGTAGCTGGGACTACAGGCGCCCACCACCAGGCCCAGCTATTTTTTTGTATTTTTAGTAGAGACGGGGTTTCACCGTGTTAGCCAGGATGGTCTCGATCTCCTGACCTCGTGATCCACCCGCCTCGGCCTCCCAAAGTGCTGGGATTACAGGCGTGAGCCACAGCTCCCGGCCAAGAAGGCTCTCTTAAAAGGAATCACTTCTTGTTTTCTTACAAGTTATAACCTCACTACCCTAGAGTCACATTTTTTAATAACTTACGAATTTTCTGAATCTTCAAATACCCTATGGCCCCATGGTAAAACATCAGATGACATTTGCCTCTCATTTAAACCATTTTTCTTTTCCTCTTTCTTCTTTATTTTTCTTATACTCTCTCCTCATTTCTTTTTCTCTCTTCCTATTTCTCTTTTTCTCTCTGCTTCTTCCTACCTTCCCTCGTGACTTTGTCTCCTCATCCCATCACCGTGCTACTTAGATGCCACATCAATTTGACTAGCCTCAAATTTACAATGAATACTTTTTAAATTCATGCTTCTGAAACTTTTAAAGGATGAAGAGGTATAAATGTCTCAAATAATAATTTGCTTGATGGCTGAAATGAATGGCATTTCTCAAAAAGGCCAAGGGACTGAATACAGAAATTTAAACAATAATTTTCCGTTAGTGATACGGTTTGGATGTTTTGTCCCCTCCAAATCTCATGTTGAAATGCGACCTCCAGTGTTGGAGGTGGGCCTAGTAATAGGTGTTTGTTTCCCAAGGGTGGATCCCCATGAATGGTTTTGTGCTGTCCTCCTGGTAATGAGTGAGTTCTTGCTCTATGAATTCACGAGAGATCTTGTTGTTTAAAAGAGCCTGGCATCTCCCTTGCTCCCTCTCTCCCCATGTAATATGCCAGCTCCCCCTTTGCCTTAAGCCATGATTGTCAGCTTCCCGGGCCTCAGCAGAAGCTGAGCAGATACTGGTGGCCTGTTTGTACAGCCTGCAAACCATCAGCCCAAATACTCCTCTTTTCTTTATAAATTACCCAGTCTCAGGTATTCCTTTATAGCATTGAGATGGACTAACATAGTCAGTTTTGACAACATGAACCTTTCATATTAAAATTTAATTTCTAAATTCACTCATTTACTGTGATTGGTTTATAGCTTTTCTGTAATAATGAATTTTACGTGTGACTTTCAATGTGCTTTAAAACTTGATTCACTTTTTAGCTCTATTTTTGGAAACTACCAGCTTCCACTGTTGAGGCAAAAGTGTCATCATTGAGGCTCTCCTGCTGAGGTAGCTGTTGTCTGATTTCCCTTCAGTTCTACTGCTGTCCCAGTGGAAAAAGGGAATCTTCACCACTTACATGACATGTTTGCCTGAACTCTAATCTTCCACACTTGCTGTAGAAAAGAGTAAAGTGGCAGTTCAGGGCAGTTTACCAATTTAGAAACGGTGTCCGCTCAGTATTTTCCTCTGTGTCACTTACTAAAACATATAAAGAAACCATGGACATTAAAAGAAAGAGAGAGGTTTAATGTGATATTTTAATTCTAACAAGGATTTATGGGCACGTGAATGCTCAAAATCACATACTCCCTTAGTGTTTTTCATCTCACACATATCACATCAGACACATATCACACACATCAGGCACATATCACACAGAACTTGCCATAATTAAATTATCAGTTTTTGAAAAATATTATCATTTGCTCTCTTTTTTTCTATATAAATAAATTTTTTTAAAATATGATTTTCAGTTCTGGGATACATGCAAGGAACATGCAGGTTTGTTATATAGGTATACATGTGCCATATAGGTGGTTTCTTATTTGTGCTTTCATCTTATGGCTTTGGCTAGAACTAGATAATAAAAGTATGCATCAATTTAAGAGTTATTTTTAATCATGGTAAGGACATATCTATAACTACTTTGTTAAATTTCATCAGTCATGCATGTTAAATATCATTAAATAAATATCAAAAATGGGCTGCTGTACCAGAATACCATAGACTTGGTGGCTTATAAACAACAGAAAGGAATTTCTCACAGTTCTGGGGTCTGGGAAATCTAAGACCAAGGTACTAGCCAATCTGGTGTCTGGGAAAAACTTTTGTTCTAGTTCAAAGAAGGCTGCCCTTTCTCTATAACCTCAGTTGGGGAAGGAGCAAGGGAGTTCAGGGGGCTGCTTTAGAAGGGTGCTAAACCCATTAATGAGGGCTGCTCTCTCATGACTTAATTAGTTCCCAAAAGCCCCACCTTCAAAAACCCTCACATTGGCGGTTAGCATTTCAACATATGAATTTGAGAGGGATGTAAACATTTAGTCTGTAGCAGTAAATGTACAATATAAAGTAAATAGCTTTATTGTTGTGTTGCATTATATTAATATATATTTTCTAGTATTAAATCTTTGTATGCCAAATCACTGGGGTGGGTGATTTCTTAGTAAGTGTAGAATTCAGTTCCTTTTTCTTTCAGTTAAGAATATTTTAACTATGTTTATAAGGGATACTGTTTAGTAATTTTATTCTTTTTGTATTCACTTCATCAAGAGTTAGTAATAGTTATATTTGCTTTGTAAAATGAACTGAAAGGAAGCCACTTTTTATAACTTTATCCATATTTCCTAGTTTGGGGTCCATTTTACAAGATGTTTTAAACAGATGCTTATTAAAAACACCGGTTATAGGGACTTTAATAAAAATTTTTAAAATAATGTTTTACATTTCTTGCAAAAATTGATGCCTGCAACCTATTTACTGTTTTTAAAATTAAATTAAGATTCATTTAAGCAGTACATGTTTATTTTAGTGAAACACGTATTTAATTTTCTAAGATAGTATTTTTTGTCTTTAAAACAATTTCTGCATGTTTTGTTTTTTTTTCACTTTAAATTTTATGTTTTCTCAGTTTTTGTTTTATCACATTTGCTATATTTTTCTGTATCATGGGTTATTTGTTAAAGAATGAACTTGTGTATGTTTATAAATTGTTACTGTTTTTGTTTATAATTTATTGCCTTCTAACTTAATATGTAATTAGCATTCCTTTTAATTTTGCTTGTATGCTTTGCTGTACCATTTTGAAATTCTTGAGTTAAATGCTTAACTATTTTTTATCAAGTTTAAATATTAAATTAAATATGTCCCATCAGTTTAGTCATTTTAATATTCTCACTCATCAGACATTTTTTGGGAACACCATATGCCTTTTCATGCAGTCAGTTTCAAGAAAATGAAAATTACTTTTTATATGTTTATACTCAAAGCTTGGCTAGAGATAAGTCTCCCCTTCCTTAAGTTGGGGAGAGAGTGATTTCTTCCAGGCTATAATCAAAAGAGATACAATTATAGTAACTTTTTGTGTTTGTTTGGGTTGTTTCTGTTTGTTTGTTTGTTTGTTTGTTTGAGACGGAGGTTGGATCTTGTTGCCCAGGCTGGAGTGTAGTGGCATAATCTCAGCTCACTGCAACCTCCGCCTCCTGGGTTCAAGCAATTCTAAACATATTTTAGCACAAAACTATTTAAGATTTCAATTTATATCTTTTTATTATCTTCCATATACTCTTTTGATACATTACCCATTATGTTGATTATTAACGTACACTCAAGTCAAGATCTTTTATTATGTGAGGTCATCAGTCAATGATAACAGATATTGATGAATTAGTCTCCTCATCAGAAATTGAGCAACATTTTCATTCAAGACGACACATGGGCCTTTAAAGCATATTCAATAATACTGAGTCTCAGTGTTCTCCTGCTATTTTCTGAATGTGCATTTAGACCTTTATACATCTATCTATCTACTGACCCATTTATTAAATTTTCAGCATTTACTTTGTACTCCAAGGACCAGAACCATGTTTGTCTTGTTCACTGCTGTACTCCTATTGCAAGGACCTAGAACATAGTAGGAGCTCATTAAACTCTGAGGTTTCAAAATAAGTGAATAGAGGTTGTAGCAGGAAGAAGTCTAAGATAGCCCCTATGACCTTCATTTCCTCATGTTACCCTGTTGATACCTCACACGGCAAAGGAGTCTTGCACATGTCACTAAGGCTAATAATCCGTCAGCCTTAAGACGGGGGGAGTATCTGGGTAAACCTAACCTAATCACACCAAAACTTCACAATCAGGGAGTTTTCTACAACTGAGAGTAGAATGGGAAGTCAGAGAGTTTCAGAGTCCAAGAAGCATTTATAGCACCCTTATTGACTTTGAAGATGCTTTGCTTCTTCTTTTGAGTTCAGTTTGAGATTATCTTTCTAATAATTGATTAGATTTTATTCTTGTAAAAAAAGAGATAATTTAAAGGAATCTATTTTTAAATACTCTGAGGAGGGTGATACTAGGGGTGCTGGTTGTCCTGTTTTAACTTTGTCTTAATTTCTAATGTAATTAAATTTTGAGTAGGTAATGTGACCTGTGTGGTTTTTATTTTAAAAAATATATTGAGGTTTTATATAATCTATTTTTAAAATATTCAATGGAAACTTGAAAACATACTGTTTCACATATTCTCGTATATATATATTAAAAATCTTTTTTTATTTATTTTTTATTTTTATTTTTTTTTGAGACGGAGTCTCGCTCTGTCGCCCAGGCTGGAGTGCAGTGGCGCCATCTGGGCTCACTGCAAGCTCCGCCTCCTGGGTTCACGCCATTCTCCTGCCTCAGCCTCCCGAGTAGCTGGGACTGCAGGCACCCACCACCACGCCCAGCTAATTTTTTGTATTTTTAGTGGAGACAGAGTTTCACCGTGTTAGCCAGGATGGTCTCGATTTCCTGACCTCGTGATCCGCCCGCCTCAGCCTCCCAAAGTGCTGGGATTACAGGCGTGAGCCACTTAGCCCGGCCTAATTATTTGTTTTTTAAAAGACGGTACATAGGAAGAAGTAAATCAGGAAAAGTGGATAGTGATTGGTGGCAGTAGAAGTGAGTCAGTGTTACAGTTACTATTGCTGCTTAAGAAACTAACCCAAATGGCCTGGGCGCCGTGGCTCACGCCTGTAATCCCAGCAGTTTGGGAGGCTGAGACGGGCGGATCATGAGTTCAGGAGATCGAGACCATCCTGCCTAATACGGTGAAACTCTGTCTCTACTAAAAATACAAAAGTTAGCCTGGCCTGGTGGTGGTGGGCGCCTTAAGTCCCAGCTACTCGGGAGGCTGAGGCAGGAGAATGGCGTGAACCCGGGAGGCGGAGCTTGCTGTGAGCCGAGATCGCGCCACTGCAGTCCAGCTTGGGCCACAGAGGGAGACTCCGTCTCAAAAAAAAAAAATTTAAAAAAAGAAAAAGAAAAAAGAAACTACCCTAAATTTAATAAGGTAAAACAACGACCACTTCATTATATCTCATGGATCCTATAGGTGAGAAATTCCAGCAGGATTCATCTGAGTGATTCTTCCTCTCTCACATCATTAACTAGGGTGACTCAGTGCTAGTCGGCTGGCAAACAAGTCAGTCTGGAAGGTGCAAGGTGCTTTTTTTCTGTCTTATAAATTGGTGGAGTTGTCTGGAAGGCAAGGCTCAGATGGGAAGGACTCTTAGTTATAGTGCCTGCACAGGGTAAACTTTTTTTTTTTCTTTTTTTTTTGAGACGGAGTCTCACTGTCCCCCAGGCTGGAGTGGTGTGGCCCGATCTCGGCTAACTGCAAGCTCCGCCTCCCGGGTTCACGCCATTCTCCTGCCTCAGCCTCCCGAGTAGCTGGGACTACAGGCGCCCACCACCAGGCCCAGCTATTTTTTTGTATTTTTAGTAGAGACGGGGTTTCACCGTGTTAGCCAGGATGGTCTCGATCTCCTGACCTCGTGATCCACCCGCCTCGGCCTCCCAAAGTGCTGGGATTACAGGCGTGAGCCACAGCTCCCGGCCAAGAAGGCTCTCTTAAAAGGAATCACTTCTTGTTTTCTTACAAGTTATAACCTCACTACCCTAGAGTCACATTTTTTAATAACTTACGAATTTTCTGAATCTTCAAATACCCTATGGCCCCATGGTAAAACATCAGATGACATTTGCCTCTCATTTAAACCATTTTTCTTTTCCTCTTTCTTCTTTATTTTTCTTATACTCTCTCCTCATTTCTTTTTCTCTCTTCCTATTTCTCTTTTTCTCTCTGCTTCTTCCTACCTTCCCTCGTGACTTTGTCTCCTCATCCCATCACCGTGCTACTTAGATGCCACATCAATTTGACTAGCCTCAAATTTACAATGAATACTTTTTAAATTCATGCTTCTGAAACTTTTAAAGGATGAAGAGGTATAAATGTCTCAAATAATAATTTGCTTGATGGCTGAAATGAATGGCATTTCTCAAAAAGGCCAAGGGACTGAATACAGAAATTTAAACAATAATTTTCCGTTAGTGATACGGTTTGGATGTTTTGTCCCCTCCAAATCTCATGTTGAAATGCGACCTCCAGTGTTGGAGGTGGGCCTAGTAATAGGTGTTTGTTTCCCAAGGGTGGATCCCCATGAATGGTTTTGTGCTGTCCTCCTGGTAATGAGTGAGTTCTTGCTCTATGAATTCACGAGAGATCTTGTTGTTTAAAAGAGCCTGGCATCTCCCTTGCTCCCTCTCTCCCCATGTAATATGCCAGCTCCCCCTTTGCCTTAAGCCATGATTGTCAGCTTCCCGGGCCTCAGCAGAAGCTGAGCAGATACTGGTGGCCTGTTTGTACAGCCTGCAAACCATCAGCCCAAATACTCCTCTTTTCTTTATAAATTACCCAGTCTCAGGTATTCCTTTATAGCATTGAGATGGACTAACATAGTCAGTTTTGACAACATGAACCTTTCATATTAAAATTTAATTTCTAAATTCACTCATTTACTGTGATTGGTTTATAGCTTTTCTGTAATAATGAATTTTACGTGTGACTTTCAATGTGCTTTAAAACTTGATTCACTTTTTAGCTCTATTTTTGGAAACTACCAGCTTCCACTGTTGAGGCAAAAGTGTCATCATTGAGGCTCTCCTGCTGAGGTAGCTGTTGTCTGATTTCCCTTCAGTTCTACTGCTGTCCCAGTGGAAAAAGGGAATCTTCACCACTTACATGACATGTTTGCCTGAACTCTAATCTTCCACACTTGCTGTAGAAAAGAGTAAAGTGGCAGTTCAGGGCAGTTTACCAATTTAGAAACGGTGTCCGCTCAGTATTTTCCTCTGTGTCACTTACTAAAACATATAAAGAAACCATGGACATTAAAAGAAAGAGAGAGGTTTAATGTGATATTTTAATTCTAACAAGGATTTATGGGCACGTGAATGCTCAAAATCACATACTCCCTTAGTGTTTTTCATCTCACACATATCACATCAGACACATATCACACACATCAGGCACATATCACACAGAACTTGCCATAATTAAATTATCAGTTTTTGAAAAATATTATCATTTGCTCTCTTTTTTTCTATATAAATAAATTTTTTTAAAATATGATTTTCAGTTCTGGGATACATGCAAGGAACATGCAGGTTTGTTATATAGGTATACATGTGCCATATAGGTGGTTTCTTATTTGTGCTTTCATCTTATGGCTTTGGCTAGAACTAGATAATAAAAGTATGCATCAATTTAAGAGTTATTTTTAATCATGGTAAGGACATATCTATAACTACTTTGTTAAATTTCATCAGTCATGCATGTTAAATATCATTAAATAAATATCAAAAATGGGCTGCTGTACCAGAATACCATAGACTTGGTGGCTTATAAACAACAGAAAGGAATTTCTCACAGTTCTGGGGTCTGGGAAATCTAAGACCAAGGTACTAGCCAATCTGGTGTCTGGGAAAAACTTTTGTTCTAGTTCAAAGAAGGCTGCCCTTTCTCTATAACCTCAGTTGGGGAAGGAGCAAGGGAGTTCAGGGGGCTGCTTTAGAAGGGTGCTAAACCCATTAATGAGGGCTGCTCTCTCATGACTTAATTAGTTCCCAAAAGCCCCACCTTCAAAAACCCTCACATTGGCGGTTAGCATTTCAACATATGAATTTGAGAGGGATGTAAACATTTAGTCTGTAGCAGTAAATGTACAATATAAAGTAAATAGCTTTATTGTTGTGTTGCATTATATTAATATATATTTTCTAGTATTAAATCTTTGTATGCCAAATCACTGGGGTGGGTGATTTCTTAGTAAGTGTAGAATTCAGTTCCTTTTTCTTTCAGTTAAGAATATTTTAACTATGTTTATAAGGGATACTGTTTAGTAATTTTATTCTTTTTGTATTCACTTCATCAAGAGTTAGTAATAGTTATATTTGCTTTGTAAAATGAACTGAAAGGAAGCCACTTTTTATAACTTTATCCATATTTCCTAGTTTGGGGTCCATTTTACAAGATGTTTTAAACAGATGCTTATTAAAAACACTGGTTATAGGGACTTTAATAAAAATTTTTAAAATAATGTTTTACATTTCTTGCAAAAATTGATGCCTGCAACCTATTTACTGTTTTTAAAATTAAATTAAGATTCATTTAAGCAGTACATGTTTATTTTAGTGAAACACGTATTTAATTTTCTAAGATAGTATTTTTTGTCTTTAAAACAATTTCTGCATGTTTTGTTTTTTTTTCACTTTAAATTTTATGTTTTCTCAGTTTTTGTTTTATCACATTTGCTATATTTTTCTGTATCATGGGTTATTTGTTAAAGAATGAACTTGTGTATGTTTATAAATTGTTACTGTTTTTGTTTATAATTTATTGCCTTCTAACTTAATATGTAATTAGCATTCCTTTTAATTTTGCTTGTATGCTTTGCTGTACCATTTTGAAATTCTTGAGTTAAATGCTTAACTAGTTTTTATCAAGTTTAAATATTAAATTAAATATGTCCCATCAGTTTAGTCATTTTAATATTCTCACTCATCAGACATTTTTTGGGAACACCATATGCCTTTTCATGCAGTCAGTTTCAAGAAAATGAAAATTACTTTTTATATGTTTATACTCAAAGCTTGGCTAGAGATAAGTCTCCCCTTCCTTAAGTTGGGGAGAAAGTGATTTCTTCCAGGCTATAGTCAAAAGAGATACAATTATAGTAACTTTTTGTGTTTGTTTGGGTTGTTTCTGTTTGTTTGTTTGTTTGTTTGTTTGAGACGGAGGTTGGATCTTGTTGCCCAGGCTGGAGTGTAGTGGCATAATCTCAGCTCACTGCAACCTCCGCCTCCTGGGTTCAAGCAATTCTAAACATATTTTAGCACAAAACTGTTTAAGATTTCAATTTATATCTTTTTATTATGTTCCATATACTCTTTTGATACATTACCCATTATGTTGATTATTAACGTACACTCAAGTCAAGATCTTTTATTATGTGAGGTCATCAGTCAATGATAACAGATATTGATGAATTAGTCTCCTCATCAGAAATTGAGCAACATTTTCATTCAAGACGACACATGGGCCTTTAAAGCATATTCAATAATACTGAGTCTCAGTCTTCTCCTGCTATTTTCTGAATGTGCATTTAGACCTTTATACATCTATCTATCTACTGACCCATTTATTAAATTTTCAGCATTTACTTTGTACTCCAAGGACCAGAACCATGTTTGTCTTGTTCACTGCTGTACTCCTATTGCAAGGACCTAGAACATAGTAGGAGCTCATTAAACCCTGAGGATTCAAAATAAGTGAATAGAGGTTGTAGCAGGAAGAAGTCTAAGATAGCCCCTATGACCTTCATTACCTCATGTTACCCTGTTGATACCTCACACGGCAAAGGAGTCTTGCACATGTCACTAAGGCTAATAATCCGTCAGTCTTAAGACGGGGGGAGTATCTGGGTAAACCTAACCTAATCACACCAAAACTTCACAATCAGGGAGTTTTCTACAACTGAGAGTAGAATGGGAAGTCAGAGAGTTTCAGAGTCCAAGAAGCATTTATAGCACCCTTATTGACTTTGAAGATGCTTTGCTTCTTCTTTTGAGTTCAGTTTGAGATTATCTTTCTAATAATTGATTAGATTTTATTCTTGTAAAAAAAGAGATAATTTAAAGGAATCTATTTTTAAATACTCTGAGGAGGGTGATACTAGGGGTGCTGGTTGTCCTGTTTTAACTTTGTCTTAATTTCTAATGTAATTAAATTTTGAGTAGGTAATGTGACCTGTGTGGTTTTTATTTTAAAAAATATATTGAGGTTTTATATAATCTATTTTTAAAATTTTCAATGGAAACTTGAAAAAATACTGTTTCACATATTCTCGTATATATATATTAAAAATCTTTTTTTATTTATTTTTTATTTTTATTTTTTTTTGAGACGGAGTCTCGCTCTGTCGCCCAGGCTGGAGTGCAGTGGCGCCATCTGGGCTCACTGCAAGCTCCGCCTCCTGGGTTCACGCCATTCTCCTGCCTCAGCCTCCCGAGTAGCTGGGACTGCAGGCACCCACCACCACGCCCAGCTACTTTTTTGTATTTTTAGTGGAGACAGAGTTTCACCGTGTTAGCCAGGATGGTCTCGATTTCCTGACCTCGTGATCCGCCCGCCTCAGCCTCCCAAAGTGCTGGGATTACAGGCGTGAGCCACTTAGCCCGGCCTAATTATTTGTTTTTTAAAAGACGGTACATAGGAAGAAGTAAATCAGGAAAAGTGGATAGTGATTGGTGGCAGTAGAAGTGAGTCAGTGTTACAGTTACTATTGCTGCTTAAGAAACTTCCCCAAATGGCCTGGGCGCCGTGGCTCACGCCTGTAATCCCAGCAGTTTGGGAGGCTGAGACGGGCGGATCATGAGTTCAGGAGATCGAGACCATCCTGCCTAATACGGTGAAACTCTGTCTCTACTAAAAATACAAAAGTTAGCCTGGCCTGGTGGTGGTGGGCGCCTTAAGTCCCAGCTACTCGGGAGGCTGAGGCAGGAGAATGGCGTGAACCCGGGAGGCGGAGCTTGCTGTGAGCCGAGATCGCGCCACTGCAGTCCAGCCTGGGCGACAGAGGGAGACTCCGTCTCAAAAAAAAAAAAATTTAAAAAAAGAAAAAGAAAAAAGAAACTACCCTAAATTTAATAAGGTAAAACAACGACCACTTCATTATATCTCATGGATCCTATAGGTGAGAAATTCCAGCAGGATTCATCTGAGTGATTCTTCCTCTCTCACATCATTAACTAGGGTGACTCAGTGCTAGTCGGCTGGCAAACAAGTCAGTCTGGAAGGTGCAAGGTGCTTTTTTTCTGTCTTATAAATTGATGGAGTTGTCTGGAAGGCAAGGCTCAGATGGGAAGGACTCTTAGTTATAGTGCCTGCACAGGGTAAACTTTTTTTTTTTTCTTTTTTTTTTGAGACGGAGTCTCACTGTCCCCCAGGCTGGAGTGGTGTGACCCGATCTCGGCTAACTGCAAACTCCGCCTCCCGGGTTCACGCCATTCTCCTGCCTCAGCCTCCCGAGTAGCTGGGACTACAGGCGCCCACCACCAGGCCCGGCTAATTTTTTGTATTTTTAGTAGAGACGGGGTTTCACCGTGTTAGCCAGGATGGTCTCGATCTCCTGACCTCGTGATCCACCCGCCTTGGCCTCCCAAAGTGCTGGGATTACAGGCCTGAGCCACCGCGCCCGGCCTGCACAGGGTAAACTTCTTATATGGCTGCTGGCTTTCCGCAGATCAAACACTCCAAGGGAACCAGGTGGAAAATGCCTGGTCTCTTTTTATCTCACTTTAAAGGTCAGGTAGAATTATTTGTCATACTCTATTGATTGTAGCAGTCACAAGCACGTCCAGATTTAGGGAAGGGAGACATAGACCTATTTTTTGATGAGAAGAATATCAACCTGTTTTTGGACTATGTTTAAAACTGCCACACATGACAATTACACACCAGGTAGAAGGCATTTGGGGACAGACTTGAAGGAAATGAGGAGGAATCGTGCTCTGCTGAAACAAGAGCATTCCAAAGAGAGACCACAGCTTGGGCAAAAGCCCTGAGTCGGAATCATGTGGACTTATTCTTAGAACAGCATCGAGGAAGCCATTATAGCTGGAGTAGAATGAGAAGGGGGAAGAGTATTAGTAGATGGTGGCAGAGAAATAAACATGAGAAGACGGATGATGGAACGAGCACCTTGTACGTCATTTTAAGGACTTTGGCTGTTCCTCAAACTGACATGGGACCATTGAAAGATTTTTTTATTTTTTATTTTTTAAATTTAACTTTTAAGTTCAGTGGTACACGTGCAGGTTTGTTATGTAGGTAAACTTGTGTCATGGGGGTTTGTTGTACGGATTATTCTGTTACCCACATGGTAAACCTGCTACCCACTAGTTGTTTTTCCTGATCCTCTCCCTCCTCCCAGCTTTCACCCTCCTTTTCAAAATAAGACATACGTGCAGCCAACAAACGTAGAAAAAAAGCTCAGCATCACTGATCATTAAAGAAATGCACATCAGAAGTACAATGAGATACTATCTCACACCATTCAGAATGGTTATTATTAAAAAGCTAAAAAATAACATGCTGGCAATATTGTGGAGAAAAGGCAACATTTCTACACTGTTGGTGGGAGTGTAAATTAGTTCAGCCATTGTGGAAGACAGTGTGGTGATTCCTCAAACACCTAAAAGAACTACCATTCGACCCGGCAATCCTATTACTGGGTATACACCCAAAGGAATATAAATTGTTCTGTCATAAAGACACATGCATGCATATGTTTATTGCAGCGCTATTCACAGTAGCAAAGGCATGGAATCAACATAAATGCCCATCAATGGTAGACTGGATAAAGAAAATGTGGTATATATACACCATGGCATATTATGCCACCATAAAAGATGAGATCACACCCTTTGTAGGAACATGGATGGAGCTGGAAGCCATTATCCTTAGCCAACTAATGCAGGAACAGAAAACCAAATGTTCCCACTTAGAAGCGAGAGTCAAAGGGGAGAATACATGAACACGTAGAGGGGAACAACATTGAAAGATATAAGCAAAGAAGTGATATCATCTGAATTGCATTTCTGAGATTTCTCTGGCACTTGTGTAAAAAATAGCTGAAAGGAATCAACGGCAGAAGCTGGGAGACCAGTTAGGGAGCTTTTGCAATAACCATAAGAGGAAATATGTGTGGCTTAGACTAGGAATCGTCAGGTTGGGAGTGCTCATATTCAAATGTGGTCAGAATCCGGACATTTTGAGTGAGCCTACAGAAAGCTTTAATACTGTCTCAAACTAAAGGATATAGAAGGTTTTCCCTTTCTCTTGCCCTGAAACCTTCTGTATCCTTTATTTTGAGATAGTATTAGAATTCTTACTATCTTACTGACAATTCTCACTATCTTGTTTTATAACTTGGAACATGATTATAATTATAGTATTGTTAAATATTTTATTTTTATTTTATAATTATACTTTAAAAATATTATTTTGGTAAATAATCATAAAATATGAAAAATAAATCTTTCCATTAACTGAATCAATTGTCCCCTTGCAGGATTTTGGCTTCACAACTTCCTAATCCTTGAAATATTAATTTTGATTATTTTTCTAATATGTACCCATATGTCTTTGAGTAAATTTTTATTGGAAGGACAAATCAGTGCTGGATATACAGATGCCATTGCTTCGTACTCAGGTAAAGACAACCTGATATTTATGATCCTCTTGATCATATTTTTATTCTCTTAAAATCTTTATGTCTTCTAATAATGTTAACAGAGAAGAAAAAAAGTCTTATCTAAGCCTGACTTTTTATTTTTAAGGAAGTTTTTTTCTTTATTTGTAAAATTCAGGAGTTTGGCTAGTTGTTATTTAAATATGGAGAACTCTTCCTTGTTTCTTCCCCCTCCCTGCCTAGAAACTGGTTGGTGCTTTTATTATTCGTACTTCAGTGATAGCTTTGATTATTGTTTCAGATCTCCTTGCCCTTGTGTCTTTCCCCAGTACACAAACTATTCTCGAGGTGGAACCTGTGGTCTCTGGCATACCCATCCGCCTTCTTCTCTGTCATTAGTTCATCTCTTCCTTTGCCCTCCAGAGCTCTGATTCAATTGCTGCTTGAACTTTTCAGTGTGTCAGTTTCTTTCTCCACGGATTTCCCTGTGGATGGAAAATCTGCCCTTGCACTTTAGTTTTCATAGAAGCCTCATCTCAGCTATCTCCCATTTTGTGATATGAGCCTCTTTTGTTATTGTAGCCTTCATCTCCTATTTCCTAAATTCCATGTGTTTCTACATACTGTTCATAGACAAATAGTTTAAAGCAATGTTCTATAGTTTCTTGTGGTTTGAAAGTCATATATTTTTAAATACGTTTTCTCCCCCTGAGAATTCAGCATACAGTTTCATTTTTCTTGTACGCAGGATGATTTTTAGGATTTTTTTTCTGTTATATTTTTTCCATTCTGGTTACCTAGAAGGTAGTGATTATTACCCCAAACCAGGGTTTGATACTGTGTTAGTCCACTTTCATACTGCTATGAAGAAATACCTGAGACTGGGTAATTTATAAAGAAAAAAAGGTTTAATGGACTCAGTTCCACGTGGCTGGGGAAGCCTCACAATCATGGCAGAAGGCAAAGGAGGAGCAAAGACATGTCTTACATGGTGGCAGGCAAGAGAGAGAGCATGTGCAGGGGAACTCCCCTTTATAAAACCATCAGATCTTGTGAGACTTATTCGGTTTCACAAGAACAACACAGGGAGAAACCCATCCCCATGATTCAATTACCTCCCACTGGGTCCCTTTCATGACATATGGGGATTATGGGAGCTATAATTCAAGATGAGATTTGGGTAGGGACATAGCCAAACCATATCATTCTTCCCCTGGCGCCTCCTGAATCTCATGTTCTCACATTTCAAAATCAATCATGCCTTCCCAACAGTCCCCCAAAGTTTTAACTCGTTTCAACATTAACTGAAAAGTCCACAGTCCAAGGTCTCATCTGAGACAAGTCCCTTCCACCTATGAGCCTGTAAAACTAAAAGCAAGTTAGTTACTTCCTACATACAATGGGGGTACAGGCATTGGGTACCCCCCAATGTATTTACACCTGTTCCAAATGGGAGACATTGGTCAAAACAAAGGGGCTACAGGCTCCATGCAAGTCTGAAATCCAATAGGGCAGTCATTAAACGTTAAAGTTCCAAAATGATCTCCTTTGACTCCGTGTCTCACATGCAGGTCACACTGACGCAAGTGGTGGTCTCCCATGGCCTTGGGCAGCTCTGCCTCTGTGGCTTTGCAGGGTACAGCCTCCCTCCTGGCTGCTTTCACTGGCTGGCATTGTCTGTGGCTTTTCCAGGTACACAGTGTAAACTGTTTGTGGATCTACCAATTGGGGGTTTGGAGGGCAGCGGCCCTCTTCTCATAGCTCCACTAGGCATTGCCCCAGTAGGGACTCTGTATGGGAGACAGAGCCCACATTTCAATTCTCTACTACCCTGGAAGAGGTTCTTCATGAGCCCCTGCTCCTGCCCCCGCACCCCACCAGAGCAAACTTCTGCCTGAACATCCAAGTGTTTCCATACATTCTCTGAAATCTAGGTGGAGGGTCCCAAACCTCAATTCTTGACTTCTGTGCGCCTGCAGGCTCAACATCTTGTGGAAGCTGCCAAGGCTTGGGGCTGCAACCTCCGAAGACGTGGCCTGAGCTGTAGCCTGGTGTCTCCCACCCCAGCCATGGCTGGAGTGGCTGGAATGCCGGGCACCAAGTCTCTAGGCTGCACACAGCAGGGGGACCTGGACCTGCTCCAGGAAATCATTTTTCCATACTAGGCTTTTGAGCCTGTGATGGAAAGAGCTGCCGTGAAGGTGTTAAGGTCTTTAATGTTCTGGAGACATTTTCCCCATTGTCTTGGTGATTACATTTGGCTCCTTGTTACTTATGCAAATTTCTGCAGGAGGCTTTAATGAAAGTCGGTTTTTCTTTTCTTTTCTTTTTTTTTTTTTTTTTGGATTGGGAGTCTCACTCTCTTGCCCAGGCTGGAGTGCAGTGCCGCAATCTGGGCTCACTGCAAGCTCCGCCTCCCAGGTTCACGCCATTCCTCAGCCTCCCAAGTAGCTGGGACTACAGGTGCCCGCCACCACGCCTGGCTAATTTTTTTGTATTTTTTTAGTAGAGACACGGTTTCACCGTGTTAGCCAGGATGGTCTGGATTTGCTGACCTCGTGATCCGCCCGCCTCAGCCTCTCAACATGCTGGGACTACAGGCGTGAGCCCCCGCGCCCGGCCAAAAAATCTTATACATTATAATGCTCAAATTTTATCCTTTAATAAGTCATAACGGAGAAACATGCTAATGATTTCACAATTAAATGTGACGTTCATTTAGTGTTTTGCTTTGTAATATTAAATATTTTATTGTTTTCCATGTGATACCTTTTCCTTTAAAATTCTACTTAATCTACTTAAATCTACTTAAATCGATGATGTTATAAATAGTCTTTGATTTTTACTTTATTAATCTTTGTACATTTTAATATCGTTAAACTTACAGGAACAGTTTGTACACTTCATGGAAATAGAGTAGAGTAATAGAGTTTGATTATTTGTTTTGTTTTCAGCTGAGGGTTTTTTTTTTTTGGTAATTTCAGTCTTAGAGTCTTTCTTTTCAGCAGTTAGTGGTATAATTCATATTTGTTTCTCATAGCTGATTTTTTGTTTTAACTTTTGTGAACTTGCTTATAGTTTCTTTACAACTATTAGGCTGGTGCAAAAGTTATTGAAGTTTTCACTAATTATTATTATTATTATTATTTTGAGGCGGACTCTCCCTCTGTCGCCCAGGCTGGAGTGCAGTGGCGCGATCTCAGCTCACTGCAAGCTCCGCCTCCCGGGTTCACGCCATTTTCTTGCCTCAGCCTCCCGAGTAGCTGGGACTGCAGGCCCCGGTCACCACGCCTGGCTAATTTTTTGTATTTTTAGCGGAGATGGGGTTTCACCATATTAGCTAGGATGGTCTCGATCTCCTGACCTCGTGATCCGCCCACCTCAGCCTCCCAAAGTGCTGGGATTACAGGCGTGAGCCACTGCACCCGGCCTAATTATTTGTTTTTTAAAAGATGGTACATACGAGGAAGTAAATCAGGAAAGGAGGATAGTGATTGGTGGCAGTAGAAGTGAGTCAGTGTTACAGTTACTATTGCTGCTTAAGAAACTACCCCAAATGGCCCGGGCGCCGTGGCTCACGCCTGTAATCCCAGCAGTCTGGGAGGATGAGACGGGCGGATCACGAGTTCAGGAGATCGAGACCATCCTGCCTAACACGGTGAAACCCCGTCTCTACTAAAAATACAAAAGTTAGCCTGGCGTGGTGGTGGGTGACTGTAGTCCCAGCTACTCGGGAGGCTGAGGCAGGAGAATGGTGTGAACCCGGGAGGCGGAGCTTGCGGTGAGCCGAGATTGCGCCACTGCACTCCAGCTTGGGCCACAGAGCGAGACTCCGTCTCAAAAAAAAAAAAGAAAAAAGAAAAGAAAAAAGAAACTACCCCAAATTTAATAAGGTAAAACAACGACCACTTCATTGTATCTCATGGATCCTATAGGTGAGAAATTCCAGCAGGATTCGTCTGAGTGATTCTTCCTCTCTCATATCATTAACTAGGGTGACTCAGTGCTATGCGGCTGGCAAACAAGTCAGTCTGGAAGGTGCAAGGTGCTTTTTTTCTGTCTTATGTATTGGTGGGGTTGTCTGGAAGGCAAGGCTCAGATGGGAGGGACTCGTAGTTATAGTGCCTGCATAGGGTGAACTTCTTTTTTTTTTTTTTTTAGACGGAGTCTCACTGTCCCCCAGGCTGGAGTGGTGTGGCCCGATCTCGGCTCACTGCAAGCTCCGCCTCCCGGGTTCACGCCATTCTCCTGCCTCAGCCTCCCAAGTAGCTGGGACTATAGGCGCCCACCACCAGGCCCGGCTAATTTTTTGTATTTTTAGTAGAGACGGGGTTTCACCGTGTTAGCCAGGATGGTCTCGATCTCCTGACCTTGTGATCCGCCCTCCTCGGCCTCCCAAAGTGCTGGGATTACAGGCCTGAGCCACCGCGCCCGGCCTGTGCTCACCCATATTTCTGTTTGCTGTGTGGTGCAGTGCGACCACACGGTTCTTCAGACACAACCTCTGCTTTCTCATTTACCTCAACACTTTAACCCTTAGATTCTTTTTTACTATACTTCAGTGTATTTCCCAGGCATATATTGTCTATGAGGGATAAAATAAAATATCAATTAAAAACAAAAAAATTCAGAGAAATATTAACCATTCACTCTTCTAAGTTCTCAAAGGTTACATTCTTCACCAAATCATATAACCAGGTCCCAATAAAATACCATCATGCAGGGAATTTAACATCATGTAGTTTAAAATACCATCATGCGGGCAGCTTTCAACTAAGCATCCTGTAAGAAAAGATCATTTGTTCTTACATCTTTAAAAGTTTGGAAATTGCTATGGAAGATTATTTTTATTATATTGTCCATTGTCTGTTGCTTGAAGACATATATTTTGCTTGAGTTTAGAGTTACCAAAAAATAGTTGCTGATATATCCAGATACTATTTTATTAACTAACAATACCTATTTGAATTCTGGTTTTCCTTTTGGCCTTTAAGAACAAGGGGCTTAGGACTAAATTTTAGGCTGAAGGGTAGTGTTTCCTTCCCTAGGTTGTCCCATGTAATTGTCACCTCTTTCTCTTCATTATTCTGTCATTTTGCCCTTGTTTTATAGTGTCTGTGCCTTTCATTCTAAGCTGTCTCAGGGGCTTTTCTGGAAATACACAGTGTATAAGTACAAAATGATGAAATAAACATGCTTCTTTTTTTTTTTTTTTTTAAGACGGAGTCTCACTCTATTGCCCAGACTGGAGTGCAGTGGCACGATCTCGGCTCACTGCAAGCTCTGCCTCCTGGGTTCACTCCATTCTCTGGCCTCAGCCTCGCGAGTAGCTGGGACTACAGGCACCTGCCACCATGTCCGGCTAATTTTTTGTATTTTTAGTAGAGACGGGGTTTCACCATGTTAGGCAGGATGGTCTCGATCTCCTGACCTTGTGATCTGCCCGCCTTGGCCTCCCAAAGTGCTGGGATTACAGGCGTGAGCCACTGCATCAGGCCAACACACTTCTTTATTTTGTTTTCAAAGATGCTTGGGTGGGACTAGATGACCTCTAAGGTCCTTTCCAGCTCTAAATTTACGTTACTTTCACCAAAGACAGACAAAAAAAAAAATCTGTTAGGTTATAGGTCTAGAGATGAGTGCCAAGTACTATATTCCTGCTCTAGGTGCATTTCTTGTTGAAGGCAGTGCTAGATTCAGTGACCTGTTACGGCCGTTTACAGTCTTATGGTGATAAAACAAGAGAACTGATTGCTAAAAAAAAAAAAAAAATTCAGTTGAAATATCTTTTTACTCTTAAGCATCAACAAAAAATAAATAGAAAACAGAAGAGTTGAATTATTTAGTTTGAGCTATTTGTAATAAATTTGGACAACTAAGCTAAGCCCGAGTGTAGTTAATTCAATGAAATTAGTCATATTTGAATATTGTCACAACCTTACTACCACATTAGCATTAAGTGTGATTAAAATTTATTCTTTGTTTCTGTGTGAGTCTCCACAGAATCAGCTATCAACACCTTCATAATAAACTAGCCCTTCATTGCTTTCAGGAAACTTTTAGATTCAGAGCAGGTGGTTGGGCTTCTGCTTTAAAAGAGAACACATCATTTTTAAAGTCCCTTTCCTGTTTGTGTGTGTGAATTTAGAACACAGAAATTATCCATTGCATTGTTTATTTTTGCTAGGAGGTAGAAGTTCTTAAAAATATAGGAAATACTAGATATCATGTACTGATAATTTCCAAAGCTAATTATTTTTCTTAAGTCCAAGCTATAATTTAAGAGGTGTACTTGTGAAATATGAATATTGTTTTAGATTAATAAAATGTTTCTCATGGAAAAATAGAATATGATTTTGTCGAAGTTCAAGGGAATATCCATTTTCATTCAGGTAGCTTCCAGATTTTTGTCTTTACATGTTCTGTGCAGTGATTTAAATACCGTACCTCCAAAATTTATGTCCATTAGGAACTTTAGAATGTGATTTTATTTGGAAGTAGGGTCTTTGCAGATATAATTAACCCAGTGATTGAGATGAGGTCATCCTGGGTGAAGGTGGGCCCTAAATCCAGTGTAAATGTCCTTATAACATACAGGAAAAGACACACACAAGGTCATGTGAAGATGGAGACAGAAATTGGAGTTATGCAGTCATAAATCAAAGAAAGCCAAGGATTGCCAGGAGCCACTGGAAACCAGGAAGAAGCGAGGGAGAATTCTTCCCTAGGGTCTTCAGGGGGAGTGTGGCCCCGCCAACATCTTGATTTCAGAGGTCCAGGCTTCAGAACTATGAGAGAATATATTTCTGTCCTCTTAACCCACCAAGTGTGTGATAATTAGGTATGATGGCCCTAGGCAACTACTACACTCTAATTCAGAAGTTCTTCTGGATTTTATTGTATCATGTGTTGGTAGGAAGTACCTGGCTGTTTCATTTGCATGATATGTGGGTAATCTTAGAATTATCATATCTTGCAAGTAATTTTAAAGTATGTTGTAATGTAGTCAGAAGCTTTTTAAATATGAAATTTAATTCATGCTGGTGTCAATTACATTTGAAAAAATACAAAAAAGCTATATAAGATTCTAGGATCTTTCAGAATTTTATAATGTTTATAATGGACAGTTGGTTAAATAAAAATTGTACCCTAAACAATTTTGTTGTTGGCTTAAAATAGCGTTTAATTTATTAGTGCTCAGATAATAGTTATCCCCTAAATAGCATTTTTACTTTCATATGTTGATATCAAACAGTGAAGTGAGACAGCAAATCAGTACAACGTGGTGATTATCAAACATCATAAATCCATGAAGGATAGCCTTGATCTTACTGAGAAGAGTTTAATTTTAAAATGCATACCTGGAAAAGGCAACTTAGATTAACATTTCAAACTCACATAGCATTATTTGTGATTGATTATAGTTATAATTGATCATTTTACTTTTGGACCGTCACTTTGAATCAAATTGGGATAAATATAAATTAAAGATTGATTATTTGCTTTGAATTTTAGATTAAAAAATTCAAAAACCATAAAAACAGAGCTTTGACTATAATAAAGGTATTTATCCTTTCTTGGTAAGAATTGGGGAGGGGTTTAAGAAAAGGCTAAGCAATGTTCTATTTTTTACATAGGGAAAAGTTTATTTGTGCTACTTTTTAATTAGGTAGTTTGTTGTTTTTTAAATGACAGCTTCCTAAACACTACTGATTTTACATGTGCAGTCATTAGCTTTTCATGTGGAAATAGTATCTTTCAAATTCACGCAGCTGCTTATTTTATGAAATGCAATGGGACTACTTACTTGCCACCTGTCTAAACTGGAATGCATAGATTCATGCCTTGCCAAATGAGGAGTTAGGGTGAAAAGTGATTAACATCCATTCTTTAATGAGTTTCTAAGTCTTTCTGAACATGTTTTTATTCTATTTATTGCAGTGGTATAGTAACATTTTCGTGTTGGTTGCTGTACAAAGCATGATAATACCTTTATTAAAGCAATGTTAATGACATCCATAAGATATCATAAAATATTATATTCTTAATAGGAAATTTGTTATATATAAATAACAATAAAGATCGTAATAAGCTCTCCTTAATTCTGTTTATTTTGACTTCATTATTAAGTTTGGAAACATAGGTGTCAAATTTAGACATTATTTATATGTAATTATAAAGCCAAATAAATGTTAGAGATTAACTTAAAAAGAGTTTTGTGGCTTAACAATTGAAGTGAGATAGTGAGATCACAAGGGGCTTAATCATTCTGAATTGATTCTACAGATGTCTCCTTTCTCTAGATGCCCTGTAAGCTTCCTATCTTCCATGAAAGTTTATTCCCATAATCCTGGCACATAAAATTAGTCATATAACTCTTTTCCATTCTGAGATTTCAAGGATTAGGACTTTCAACATAGAGAAAACGTGCTGTGTAGAAGCTGAATGTACAAAAGGCAACACTTGGCAACGGAATCCAGTATTTCCCAAGTATTTGAGGAAACTTACAAAACCCAAATCTCTAGTACTTGCTTTCACATTTGCTATCAGAACCAGGAAGGGAGGCCTAGAAATGGTTTGAATGGAAAATTTGTTGTTGTAGAAGGGGTTCCCATTCACTGGTGAATAGACACAACGTATTTCCCAACCTTCTTTTAATCCAAGATAGCAACATTTTTACTGGAGCCAAAGATAAAACCAGTATTTAATCTCCTAGAAATTAGGAGATGTATGACTCTGGAAATGGAAAGAATTTTCATATCCAGCCACATAACCAAGTCCTGCAAGAACATAATAAACAAACCAATCAAACAACAAGAATAACAACCACAACATGGTCCCCATTCTGTCTTTAACCTCTGATAGAAAGAGCAGTAATGGTAAGACGAGAAAGCTCTCGTCAAGTGTTTTCCTCATCTACTGTTAATGATTTATTCTTACATCCTGTCCCAGTCCAATTATGAAAAAATTCTAAGAGAGATCCCTTTAGCTGACTTGTAATGAATTCCAGGGTCACATTCCAGATATTGTTTTCCCCTGAAATCGTGTAAGTGCACATCAAAATACTATACTTTTGGTGTGAATCTGAGCCAAATTCTATTGTATTCTAAATAAAGTGAAACTCCTATCAGCCAATAGGGCACGGTATCAGTTTCAAATAAGACAAGTTGGTAAAGTCAGGAGAAATGACTTCCTCCTTCCTCCTGATGTGCTGTATATAGATGTATTAGCACTGCCTTTTAATATTTTATGTGTTCAACAGAGAGGGAACTAACATCTTGTTAATCCTCATTTGAAAACAATTTTGCGAATGTAAATGTAGCAGGGCTTTTGCCTTTTTTCCTTCTTCATGAAAAACAAGTAGTGCTTGGGGAGCAAGTGTTCCTGTTCAACTGCTGTCACTCATTCCCAGCTCTGTTTAGAAGAAATAAGCACAGATGGTTGGTCTACTACTTCCCCAACGAAAAATTTGCCTGTTGGCCGGGCGCAGTGGCTCAAGCCTGTAATCCCAGCACTTTGGGAGACGGAGGCGGGCAGATCACAAGGTCAGGAGATGGAGACCATCCTGGCTAACACGGTGAAACCCCGTCTCCACTAAAAATACAAAAAATTAGCTGGGCACGGTGGCGGACGCCTGTAGTCCCAGCTACTTCGAAGGCTGAGGCAGGAGAATGACGGGAACCCGGGAGGCGGAGCTTGCAGTGAGCAGAGATCGCGCCACTGCACTCCAGCCTGGGCGACAGAGCAAGACTCCGCCTCAAAAAAAAAAAAAAATTGCTTACCTTTTTTGTGTTTTATTCCATCCTTCTCATTGTCATGTGAACAGTATTTCAAGGGAAGAAACTTCTGTAGGGATCTTTGAAATGTTTATCCACTGCTTGTGCATGAAAGAGAAAAAGAAGAAATTAATGATTTATTAAAATTTCATGAGGGGAACTCAAAAACGCTTTGTTACAAAAAAATTTAATTTAGAAACCGTGTATTTTGCATGCAAAATTAAAGTCTTCAGGGAAGTAAGTTTTTATATCAGACTTGCATCCTAAAGTACTCATTTAATGATGGCAGAACCACTTCATCCATGTTAAAAATACCTGTGTGGGTCTTTTTTATTTATACTGTGGCTTAATGAAAATTTGTCTATTGTAAATATATTAAGAAAAAGAGCATAAAGACTTTTTAACATAATTTTCTAACGCTGAAAATACATACAAACAGTAAAATACCCAAATCTTAACTGTACAGCTCAATACTTCTTTTGTTTTTAAACAAACTTAGCCCTTCTGTGTATCCAGTACTCAAATCAGGAAATTTTATATTATTACTTCTTCTAGACACTATTTCATAGGATAGCTCTTATGGTGATTTGGAACATAACTGATGAGTTTTACAATTTTTAGTGAATTAGATCGTAGAATATGTTCTGTATCTTGCTTCTTTCATTCAATATTTAGTTTATAAGATTTGTTAATCTTTTTGCATATAGTTGTAATTTGTTAGGTTCTCATTGCTATATACTATATCATTATACAAATATAAGTTCAATTTGTGGTTATTTTGAATGGTGCCTCTCTGAGCATTCATGTATTTGTCTTTTGGTAAATATTGCTGGGTATATGCTCAGGGTCATAGAATATGGTCAGATTTAGCATACATGGAAAATGGTGGTGTCCATCAGTTTACATTTCCATCCACAATGGGAGAGAGTTCTAGTTGCTCCGCATCTTTGCCAACACTTGGTATCATTTCTCTCTTTCATTTGAACTGTTCTGATGTGTATGTATCACTATTTCAATTGTGGTTATTTTGAACATTACAAAATTGGCAAAGAATAACTGATTTTATTAAATCATATTTCATTTGAAGTAACGTGGGTCTACTTTGCAGTATTTTTCCCTATTTACATGATTCATAAGAAGAGTGATCATGAGATAGTCAACAATATAACAGCTTGGAATGAGATTTTTGATCAGCTATAATTGTAATGTATTTTATCTAAATATTATTTAACTGTATTAGTAACTGTGATCATTAAGAACAGAAACAAAAGGTAAGCAAGTCCTTAGATTAACATGAAACAACATTCCTGCCTTTTGAAAGAAACTTTTCTGACCTGTAAGTAAATGATGTAAATCAATTAATAGCTTAACTGAAATTAAGAGATGAGTCTCAGCTTTCATTGCCTATATTATATCTGTGTTTCTGGAGAAACAAAAAAACAGTATGACAAACCTACAGTCTGCTAGTTTCTTCTCACCCTGCCAACAACTGTTATATTACTGTTTAGCTGGTTATGTGCAACCATTTGTTCAGGATTGTTTTGTTTTGCTTAGTTTTACTTTTTAAGGCAGAGTCTTGCTCTGTTGCCCAGGCTTGAGGTCTATGAGTTACACTCAGGGTCACATGGTCAACGAGATGTAATCACAGCTCACTGCAGCCTTAACCTCCTGGGCTCACGTGATCCCCCTGCCTCTGCTTCCTCAGTAGCTGGGACTACAGGTGCATGCCACGACACCCGGCTTGTTGAGCAGAGTTTTGATGAAAATCATTCATCCCTTCTTAATCACAAACAGTGAAACCTTAGAAAATGTAATTAGAGAGAAAAATAACATTTTGCACCAAGCTAATTGTATCTTTACCTTTTATTAGTTGGTTTCAGGATTGGTACTTGTTGATGGTTCTGTTTTGGAGTGTGCGTTCCCTGGGTTTAACTCCTTGCAGCACACTTTATATACGTTGTGTGGCCTTACTTGAGTAACTTAAGTTGCTTAACTTCTCCAGATCCCAGATTCTCAACCTGTAGAATGGAAGTAATTATAATACAAACATTATGTGGTGGGTTAGTCCAGGTCCTCCAAGAGGTAGATGTTGAAAACGAGTTAAACACAAGAGGATTTTATTAAGGGAAATCCCTGTGAGAGAAAATGGAGAGGAAGCTGAGTAAGCCTGGAAGAGGTCTCAGCTATGAGGCAAGTCTGACCTAGAATGAAGGAAAGAGGAAAGGAAGGTTGAGTGGAAGCATTGGAGCGTAATGTACAGTCTAAGGAAGGGTGAGAAAAGGCTTCAGGGAATCCTGAGCCAAGACTGGTCCTCAGAGAAGCCCTGTGTCTCCTAAAGAGGGATCTGCATTAGCCACCCTGTGGGCCTCAGTCATTGACTGAGGGGCAGATGCAGAAACAGATTTTAGAGTGAAGCAGCAAGTGGCCGTAGGCAGTTAGGCTTCCCATACTTTGAGGTCTATGAGTTTATTTATTTATTTATTATTTATTTATTTAAATTATACTTTAAGCTCTGGGTTACATGTGCGGAACTTGCAGTTTTGTTTCATAGGTATACACATGCCATGGTGGTTTGCTGCACCCATCAACCCGTCACCTACATTAGGTATTTCTCCTAATGTTATCCCTCCCCTACACCCCCACACCCCACAGGCCCCAGTGTGTGATGATCCCCTCCCTGTGTCCATGTGTTCTCATTGTTCAACTCCTGCTTATGAGTGAGAACATGCGGCGTTTGGTTCTCTGATCTTGTGATAGTTTGCTGAGAATGATGGCTTCCAGCTTCATGCATGTCCCTGCAAAGGACATGAACTCATGTCCTTTTTTATGGCTGCATAGTATTCCATGGTGTATATGTGCCACATTTTCATAATCCAGTCTATCACTGATGGACATTTGGGTTGGTTCCAAGTCTTTGCTATTGTGAATAGTGCCACAATAAACATACGTGTGCATGTGTCTTTATCGTAGAATGATTTATAATCTTTTGAGTATATGCCCAGTAATGGGATTGCTGGGTCAAATGGTATTTCTAGTTCTAGATCCTTGAGGAATTCACACACTGTCTTCCACAATGGTTGAAGTAAATTACACTCCCACCAATAGTGTAAAAGCATTCCTATTTTTCCACAACCTCTCCAGCATCTGTTGTTTCCTGACTTTTTAAGGACTGCCATTCTAACTGGAGTGAGATGGTATCTCATTGTGGTTTAGATTTGCATTTCTCTAATGCAGGTCTATGAGTTTCTTATTCATGGTCACTAAAAGATGTTTATCATGAATTGAAATCTCCAGATAAGAGTAAAGCAATGCCTAATTCATAGTTACGCACTTATCAATTTATTTATTCATATTATTCATTATCATTATGAATATTCAACACATTAATAAAAGAGTCACATGTGCAATCTACTTGGGGTATTGGGAGAGTAAAGAATAACATAGTGGTGCTACAGGTAATTTAAGAGATGGTTTCTCTCTCTCTCTCTCTCTCTCTATGTGTGTGTGTGTGTATATATATATATATATATATATATATATATATATATGAGACAAAGGTATAATTATTTTCCTTCTACTATTTGTTGTTGATGTATACTGCCAAATCCCTAACGGATACTGGAATACTTAACTCTAAGCTCCCCCCACGCCTACAAAAGAAGTGGGTACAAGGTTAGTTTTTAAATCAAAAGATTTATTAATAGTATTTTTATCATGTCCAATTGATATTATCATTATCAAAAAGTTTAATCACTTATTATTACTTGAAGGACCTCGTTAGGAAATATTCGATCCACTTTTTTTGTTTTTTTTTTTTTTTGAGACAGAGTCTCATTCTGTCACCTAGGCTGGAGTGCAGTGAGGTGATCTCGGCTCACTGCAAGCTCTGCCTCCCAGGTTCACGCCATTCTCCTGCCTCAGCCTCCCGAGTAGCTGGGACTACAGGCGCCCGCCACCACGCCCGGCTAATTTTTTGTATTTTTAGTAGAGACGGGGTTTCACCGTGTTAGCCAGGATGGTCTCGATCTCCTGACCTCGTGATCTGCCCGCCTCGGACTCCCAAAGTGCTGGGATTACGGGCGTGAGCCACCGCGCCTGGCCTGTTCCACTTCTTAAAACTGGTCACTGGAAGTACATCGTCTTGGGAAGAACTGGATATTTCTTGAAACCCCTTTCATATAGCCATATTCTCAAACATAGAACCTTCTTTTATTTTTTTCAAAGATTTTTTTCCATTACTGTAGAAAATTCAGAGGGTGTTTATGGATAGTGCAGTACTCCGCTCAAATACAGGGAACGAAAGTTACATTAAAATGATAATATTTTTTGCTGAAAAGTATTATGATATTTAATGTAAGCAAACAAATGACTCAGGTGATAGTGTTTTGTTTTCATTTTTTAAATGCCTTGGCCGGGCGCGGTGGCTCAAGCGTGTAATCCCAGCACTTTGGGAGGCCAAGGCGGGCGGATCATGAGGTCAGGAGATCGAGACCATCCTGGCTAACACAGTGAAACCCCGTCTCTACTAAAAATACAAAAATTAGCCGGGCGTACTGGCGGGAGCCTGTAGTCCCAGCTACTCGGGAGGCTAAGGCAGGAGAATGGCGTGAACCCGGGAGGCGGAGCTTGCAGTGAGCCGAGATTGCGCCACTGCACTCCAGCCTGGGCGACAGAGCCAGACTCCGTCTCAAAAAAATAAATAAATAAACATAAATAAATAAATAAATAAATAAATGTCTTACTTCAATAGCTTTTGGAGCACAAGTGGTTTAGGTAACATGGATAATTTGTATAGTGGTGAAGTCTGAGATTTTATTGCACCTGTCACCTGAGTAGTGTACATTGTACCAAACATGTAGCTTTTTTATTCCACACCCACCTGCCAACTTCCCCCTTATGAATCTCCAGAGCCCATTATATCACTCAGTGGAGAGTCTTCAACATTCAGGGTGGAATCTTCAGGGTGTGGCCCTCTATCCATTGCTTTCCAACGTTTGTACTCTCTGCTTTGTGAATAGAGGCCTGTTCTCCCTGTCTGCCTTGTTCACGTACCTTTGCCGTTTTCCTTGCTGGGATGACATCCTTTGCCCTGAAGTTCTCATTAACCATACCATAGATGTCCTCTTCTTACCTCAATACATCCAAGGCTACCTCAAGTTATAACTTCTCCTTTAGTTTTTCCCTAGTGTCTGAGTTCAAATGGGCTTCTCTATATCCAGAATATCTACCACCTGTCTTATCTTTCCTCACACGTGGCACGTGCAGTTCCTTCCATCTACTTTCATAATGTTGTATTTTAACGGTTCAGTTGTGTTTATATTACACTCTTCTGTCAGGCAAACAAGGGTATTTATATGGCTGAAATCTACGGTATTTTTTAAATGTAGTAAAATGTAATGAATAAGCATACAAATGAATGAGTTAATTAATCTGTTATATTCTTGGTTAAGTAATGAGCATTATGAGGACAAAAATTGAGTCTTACACCTTCTTATAATCCTAAAGACCTAGTACAGGACTTGGAATATAGCATTCACTTAAGACATCTTTGTGACTAATGAATTTAAATATTTTTATTAATTCTAAGTTGACGTATGATTGTAATTTGGGGAAGGTAGTGAAATTTCAAATGGCTTTCACCACCTGTGAAATGACCCTTTTTACCTACCACATGATTTACCAGATCTTTGTTTAGGTGAACCTAGGCGAAAGCAGATTGTTTCCTCTACTTAGGAAATACTTCGCACATTTTCGTTGCTTATAAATTTGATGATTTTAATTTGTACAGTTATAATTTATGATATTGACTTGTACAGTTATATATATTTTACATATAATATATATTATATATTATATATAGTTATACTATATATAATTTTATTTTCTAAAGTAAAGAATATCATTACACATTAACAAAATAGATATAACTGTTTTCTTTCTACTATTTGTTACTGGTGTATACTGCAAATCCCTAATGGATACTGAAATTCTTATCTCTAAGCCCCTCTATGACTATGAAAAGAAATGGGTTCAAGTTTATTTTAAAAATCAAAGAGTGTATTAATAATATTATTGTTATCATGTCCAATTGATACTATCATTATTAAAAAGTTTAATCACTTATTTCTTGAAGGACCTAATTAGGAAATATATATGTGTGTGTATATCTATATTCTATCTATATATATCCTATATCTATATTCCATATATATTCTGTATCTATATTCTATATCTGTATTCTACATATATTCTATATATAGTCTATCTATATTCTATCTATATCCTATATATAGACTATCTATATCCTATATATAGTCTATATATATTCTATCTATATCCTATATATAGTCTATATATATTCTATCTATATCCTATATATAGTCTATATATATTCTATCGATATCCTGTATATAGTCTATATATTTTCTATCTATATCCTATATATAGTCTATATACTCTATATATCTTATATAGTCTATATATATTCTATATATATCCTATATAGTCTATGTATATTCTATATATATCCTATATAGTCTATGTATATTCTATATATATCCTATATAGTCTATGTATATTCTATATATATCCTATATAGTCTATGTATATTCTATATATATCCTATATAGTCTATGTATATTCTATATATATCCTATATAGTCTATGTATATTCTATATATATCCTATATAGTCTATGTATATTCTATATATATCCTATATAGTCTATGTATATTCTATATATATCCTATATAGTCTATGTATATTCTATATATATCCTATATAGTCTATGTATATTCTATATATATCCTATATAGTCTATGTATATTCTATATATATCCTATATAGTCTATGTATATTCTATATATATCCTATATAGTCTATGTATATTCTATATATATCCTATATAGTCTATGTATATTCTATATATATCCTATATAGTCTATGTATATTCTATATATATCCTATATAGTCTATATTCTATATATATCCTATATAGTCTATGTATATTCTATATATATCCTATATAGTCTATGTATATTCTATATATATCCTATATAGTCTATGTATATTCTATATATATCCTATATAGTCTATGTATATTCTATATATATCCTATATAGTCTATGTATATTCTATATATATCCTATATAGTCTATATGTATATTCTATATAGTCTATATATATTCTATATGTGTATCCTATATATATTCTCTATACATATTCTATATATATATACACACACACACACACACATATATAGTAGCCTGATATTTAAAAAATAAGATTGGGACTGCGTAAAATAAGCTCACCCAGACAATAGGGGTACAGACATATGTATAATTCAGCAAGAACTGGTAACAAAGTGAGATATGTCAACTCTTTGTAGCATATTGTTAAGTAGTATTAAAAAACAAGTAATTTTTGGTTGGGTCCATTGAGAGAATAACATTATTTTTAGAATGATCTAATGGCACAATAAGCATTTTAGCATTTTACCTGCAAAAGCATTATAGCTGTGCCAGTTTCTGTTCCAAGAAAAAAATACATTGGTGTATTCTCTAAAGGAGGAAATTCTGACCTCAACTATGTTCAGATAGCTGTGGCAGATAATACTCTGATCAGGTACTAAGTCATATATCTTTCACATTTCCCTTTGCTAGTTATACTCAGCATGTGGTTGGAAATGGAATCAAAGCCCAGTCTGGAAATCCTGAAGTCAAAGTCAAAGGAACTGATCCTGTGATAAATCAGATTATTGATAAACTGAAGCATGTTATTCAGGTAAGTCCTGATCCTATATTTTTTGGTATAGCCAATAATAAATAATAAGTGGTCACTTTCTGTTATACTTGATAAATTTGTTAACCCTATCAGGTAATCCTGCCTAAAATATTGTAACACATTATTTGTATCAGGACTTTTGGGAATATTTAGTTTAATGATTTTTGTATGCAGTCAATATGCAGTGGTATTTTAATGTTGGACAATCTGTATATGTGAAAAGCAAGCCTCAGCCTCAGCATTTCAATAATGAGAATCTCAGGACATGCATTGTCTTCAGTGAATAAGTTTGAACGTGGGAATCACTGTGACCATTAAAGAAAACACATAGAAGACCATAGAAGATGCCAGAGTTTTCTTTCAGGTAATTCTCTGAATGTTGCTATGAAGGTTTTTGCAGCATTTCAATACAAATTAGGTCATAGATGAATAATATGTACTTCTAATATTTATTTCCTATATCACCTTTTATATGTTATCTTATAATCTACCTAATGGTTGTTTATGAAATACTTCTGTTTTATCTTCAATAATATTTTTCATCAAGTGAGTGTGTATTGCTGTTTTTAATACATGACAAATGAAGCATGAACATATTTATCAAAATAATATTTCATTGAAATAGTCTATTAATTAGAACCAAACATGATGTTGCATGTTGTAAATATTACTCTGCATTCTGCATCTATTGATGTTTGGGGAAAGAAAGGCTATTTTTTTTTTTAGTTAATAGTCATTTTATAAAAATTTATATTTGAATATACTTTCATTTTTCCTAAGCAGAACTTTGCATGGCTAGTTGATGCTTATTTCTAGTATCGTGCATCAGAAACAATACCTAAATAGTACAGAGTTTTTATTGCATACAACATATTCCAGAGTCAGTAGTAGGCTTCTCATAATTGTTCTGCAAAGACAAAGCTTAAGTTTATGCAGAGCCAATTCCTGGGTTTCCATTTTTCACGAGTCCCTATCTCTCAAGGAGAGGATATGTAAGAAGGACTTGGGGGTTGGTGTCCAATACCATAGACTTCTCCCTTCTGTGAGGCAACAATGCTTATTCTACCATTGATACCTATAGAAAACAGCTCTCACCCTGGCTGGCAAAACCAAAAATAAATTCTACTGGAAAAGTCTAAGAGAAAAGTGGTATCATGACTACTGATGAGTTAAACCTTCCAGCCTCTGCTGAGCTGGTCCAGTTGGTACCTCACAGTATCGTCCACTGTAGTATAATATGTACAGCTAGATTATTTGAAAATTCGACCGCATAATTGATAATAAAACCAAAAGAGCTTTAATATTAATGTTCTCTCATTGAGGAGTGAGTACAATCTCACTGTGAGGACACAGTGAAATCTTAGGGGTTTCTTAAGTGGGGTAAGCATTCCACAGAGGATGGAGGAAGAAAAACTAGAACTTAAATATATATTTATTCCATCTCATTCTTTTATATTTCTTTGGTTGTAGTAAGGTATATAAAATATGTAATGTATTAGTGCAATAGCATATACATATAATTTATAAATACATAAATATACATATTAACTGGACATTTGTTCAGATTGTTTTTCTAAGATATATACATGATGAAAGCAGAACAGAAACCCTGTTACAGATAATAAGGATAGAGCTGTTCCATGAGAAGTGCAGTTATAAGAAAACACATTCACAGAGGAACACATAGATACCCAAGATAGAAAGGATTATAAAAACCCTTAGGAGGAGGGCTCATATATTTATTACCCATTCAGCAACCCCCCTCCCCATTTCTTGTTTCGTAGGTTTCAAAGCCTTTTCAAGGTGGCAGAGGGAAGTCATCCTGCCTTTCTTTTTTAGCTTCTGTGTGAACTTGAGTCCCATTCTTTATTCTTTATAGGAGTGTGCAGATCTCCAATTATTCATGCTTAAGTTTCATTCTGGGGTTGCAAGAGAATATCAAATGCAGTGCTACCTTTGAGGTCTATCATTTTAAGATCTGCTAGATTTATATGATAGAAATGTAGATTTTTATAGAGGACAGCAGAAAGTCATATCTTGCACAGGTGTCACTGAAAATTTACCTTTAATATCTAAGAATATGCTCTTTCATGAACTGCTCTCCTGGAGATGAAGAGAAGTGTTTTACTTTGCCAATTTTTTTTTTTTTTTTTTTTTTTTTTTTTTTTTTTTTTGAGACAGAGTTTCCCTCTTGTTGCCCAGGCTGGAGTGCAATGGCGCGATCTCGGCTCGCTGCAACCTCCGCCTCCCGGATTCAAGAGATTCTCCTGCCTCAGCCTCCAGAGCAGCTGGGATTACAGGCACGTGCCACCACAGCCCGGCTAATTTTTTTTGTATTTTTAGTAGAGACAGGGTTTCTCCATGTTGCTCAGGCTGGTCTCGAACTCCCGACCTCAGGTGATCCACCTGCCTCGGCCTCCCAAAGTGCCGATTACAGGCGTGAGCCACGGCGCCCGGCCTACTTTGCCAAACTTTTGACTACTGATGGTGTACGCGTGCCCTGGCAGGGATGGCCATTGTGCTGTCAGTATCAAGGGATGGCTAACAGCACCCACCACAATGTCAGCTATGAAAGGATTCAGAAAATAGCCTTCTGTAAGTCAGAATTTATTAATTAAGGAGTAGGGCCATGGAAGATGTCAACATAGGAATAGGTTTCAGATTCTAAACTGTAGATTTAGATGATCACTTCTTAGTGTTTGTATAAAATTTACTTTATTTTTTATTATAACATGAAGTTCGCTTTCCACCTTTATACTATGAAAAATGCCGTGTCTCACAATAGGGACATACCTGTGTTAAAGTATATGGAAGTAAATCAGCCACAATAGCAAACATTGCCTGCATGGACTCACCCAAAAATGCCTTTCTCGGCCTGCCATTGATCTGAACCTCATTTCTACCTTGCATTGTCTGCAATTAGAGTCACTAAGGAAGTAGATAAAGATTTTTACTTGGAAAATGTCACTTTTTAATGTTTTAATAATTAATTCGTTCAAGATACTCAACAAATGCTCACTGAGTTTCTAGTACGGTCCTGGTTCTGTACAGGCACTGAGGTTAAAGTTGTGAATAAAGCAGACACAACCCTGCTCTCATGGGCTTTCCATTGTAAGAAAAAAGTAAATAAACAAACCAATGAAACCAGTATTGTAGCTGACACATGTTATGCACAAAACCAAACAAGGTGAGGTAAGGAAAGATATTTAAGAAGAGTGTGCTGGTGAAGGCCACTCAGGGGCAGATGTTTGGGTTGATGCTGAATAAGGAGAAGAAAGGAGTCATGGGAAAACCTGTGAGAACTGTGTCTGGGGCAGAAGGCAAAGTAGGTGTAAAGGCCCTGTGGCAGGAATAAGTTTATTTTATTCAGAGAACAGAAGGCCAGGTGGCTAAAACAGAGTGAGTTAAAGGGAGGAGATAAACATACATCATGTTTTGGGGAGTCCAGTAGGCTCTGGTAAAGAGTTTATATTTTCTCCTAAATAGACTAAGAAGTCATTTTAAAACTGTAAGCAGAAACTAGCTGCGCGCAGTGGCTCATGCCTGTAATCTCAGCACTTTGGGAGGCTGAGGTGGGTGGATCACCTTAAGTCAGGAGTTTGAGACCAGCCTGGCCAACATGGTGAAACCCCATCTCTTCTAAAAATACAAAAATTAGCTGAGCACGGTGGAGCGTGCCTGTAATGCCAGCTACTGAGGAGGCTGAGGAAGGAGAATCGCTTGAACCCAGGAGTCGGAGCCTGCAGTGAGCCAAGATCGCGCCACTGCACTCCAGCCTGGATGACAGAGCAAGACTCCTTCTCAAAATAAATAAATAAATAAAAATACATCACAAATTTAATAAATAAATAAATAACTGTAAGCAGAAGCTGATACAATTTAATACATGTTTTATGAGGACTTCACTATGAAAACTGGACCCTGCGTACAAGAATGGAAAAAAGAAAGTAACACAGACAGAAGGCCACATAATTGGAGCTAGAATAATAAGAGTGGATAAGCTGAGAAGTGCATAGATTTAGACAAATATTGGAAGCGGGGTTTTTGGGATTTGTTAATGGATTGGAAATTTGGGAGACGGAAGAAAGATGATAGCGAGGTTTGGTGGGATGATAGTGTCACTAAGTGAGAAAAGGAATTCTGAGAGAGGAGCAGGCCTGGCGGAGGGTCCCTGGGATTGATTAGAAATCAGTGGTTTTGTTAACTGTGAGATGCTTGTTAGATGCCCAAGAGGGATGTGCAGAACTCAGGGAGACCACACAACTGGAGGTGTATGTTTGTAAGCATCAGCACGTGGATAGTATTTAAGCCCTGAGATTGTATAAGGTTGTCACCTTTCCTTTAGAGTATAAATTCACACCAAAACTATTGGTGGAGATGATAGGACAAGGGAATCATACAAAAAAAATTGTACTGCAAAAAGCTATGAATGAATAAAACATTTTATTAAATGTATTTGGCACCTTGTATATACCTAGTTGATCTAGGACAGAGAAGATACTTAGTAACATTCATTTTTTCTTACTGTAAGAATAATGACCCAGGAGGCGGAGGCTGCAGTGAGCTGAGCAGGCCACTGCACTCTAGCTCTAGCAGACAGAGTGAGACTCCGTCTCAAAAAAAAAAAAAAAAAAAAGAATAATGAATGCTCATCAGAGGGAATTGAATTTTATTATTCTAGGAAATCTGATGGAAAAAGTGAAAAATAAATATTGATACCATTTATAAAACAATGAAAAGACTTATAAGAGAAGCCATCTAGGCTTTTCTCTATACTTAATTATACATATAAATACATCAGTACTTTACTTCAAAAAATAAGATCATAGGGTACATTTGATTTTATGATCTGAACTGCTCACCTGACCACACAAAACAAATACTTTACCATGACATTAAATAGTCTGCTCTCTGGTTGTTAGTGCTGGCATACTATTCTATCATATGGAAAAATTACAGTTTTCCTTCACCCAGTCACCGAAAGTTGGATATTTAGGATGCGACCAGTTTTTCATGATAATAAAGACTAATAGGAATAGCAGTAGACATAAGATGTTTTTGGCATCTTTTTTTTCTTGTAATACGTTCTACATATTGAAACTAATAATTGTATTTTGCTACATATTGCCACGTTTTTCTCAAGGAAAATTATAGCTAACAGAAAGTGTCAGCTTTCTCTGTGTGTTAAGGGTGTGGGTGGAAGCTCGGCAGTGACGCTGAGACATATTGGTATGGAACATCATTGGACTCTCTAGAGATCAAGGTAGCAGTCCTGTAGAAATGTTAGCCCGAGCTGTGTGTCACCTGGGAGTACTCCAAGGACGGCCAAAAGAAATATTTTAGTTAGAAGACAATTTATAAGAAAAGTTTAGAGGCTTCCTAGAGAGGTCATAGCATACACAATTTTATTTCATCCTTTAGGGCAAGCCGTATATATATGTTCTGCGCACATCTCCTCCTGCACCCTCCTCAAAAAAAAAAAAAAAAAAAAAAAAAAAAAAAGCTGAGATCTGATGTAAATAGATAGCTGTGAATTATAGCTTGGTCCTTAAGGAATATCTCAGAAACTTCAATGTTCCTTCACCCCCTCCGCAAACCCTTCTGAATTGAGAATGGGAACCTTGGCAACAGAGGGGAGTCATGCACCTCCCTTTTCCATCTGTGACTCTGGCATCTTCCTCCAGGTCAGCCATGGTGCAAACTCTCACAGTTACTTTCTGGCAGTTTCCTGCATTCCAAACCTGTTTCTGAAATGGGCAATATTTGTCCCCTTGAAAATCACCTGTGATAAATGTGGTATAGCCCACGGCCAGTGAAAATTTTCCTACAGGGAGACATATTCCTAAGTGTTAACATTAACTTTTTCAGATGTTTGAGTCAGACTCAATTGCCCTTTCATATTATAGATTGAAAACAACACTTGGTTGATGTTAGTATATCTGATTGAGGAAATATGAGAGCCTTTTTAATTTAGATTTGCTCGCCTAGAAAACTCACTTTGAAACTTCTTGGTCATGTTATGTTTGCTTATGGCAAAGTTATCAGCAAAAAAGTCACTGTTATGCAGCAATTTATCTTTAAACACTAAATGACATCTATCATTTTTCAAAGAAAATAGTGTCAGCAGTTAAAATCCTAACTGCTTGAGCACTGTTAGTTGACAATTATAATGCCCCATTGCTTAGAAATTAATTGACCTACTTTCAATAAGAAACATAAAAAGTAATATCACAGCAATTTTCTGGATCTATTTTATTCCAAAACCAATAAATGTTACAGTGTTGTTAAAAGTAATAGATTTAAAAACATTTTATTTTCTTAAACTTAACAATTCAAATAACATAAAATAATATTACGTTTCTATTAAGTATTCATTTTTATACAGACCAAAAGTTCTTTAGAAAATGTCTTCATGTATAATATAAATTTGATTTTTAGATGTGAGAAAAGCAACAATCATAATCGTTGCCTAAATCCACAAAATAAGTAGATATTCTATAATATGTATTTCAGTAATCACAATGTATTGGATTCAGGCAGAGATGAGAGACACTCTGATTTTAGCAGAAAAAGACTGTGTTAAATTACCTCTTTGCCTTTTCTCACTCTGTTCCTAGGATAGCAATATAATAAATAGTAACTTTAGAACTGGGATACACTGAGAAAATGTCCTAATTTAAATCTCAATAGATGATTACACAGGTAGTGTTTACACACACACACACACACACAATGACAGGAGTTTTTAAAGATATTAGTATCTCGGAATTTTTGAATTCTGAAAACTGTCCAAGCTTTTATCATTAAATCACTTGTTATGAAACCCATTTTAGAAACACGCTTTCCTATTTTTAATAGCCTATGATAGTCATACAGAATGAGTTAATCAAAATTGATTGGTCAATTGCTAATTGCAAATTCTTTGACCGTAGCATGTCAGCTGATTCTATGAACTTCTACAGACTCTTTCCCTTGGTCCGGGAGTTGCCACAACACTCTGACTCCTTTCCCCACAACTCCATTACATGATATTGTCACCTCCCCAGGCTTACGATACTAATATTCCAGAGAGATGAACAGTCCTTGATTTTGAATAGCAATGCAGTAGTGACCAAAACAGATTTAGTTTTGGTTCAGAAGAAAGTGCTGGATATGCCCTCAGTAACTTTCCATGGTCATCTAATTCAGCAATTAGTTTGAGTAAATTCAATGGAAGGCTGCTTTCTGGAATGGGTAGTGTAATGTACTGACTTCCCTATTAGACATTTCATTTAAAAAAATCAATTGTCCGCATAAAACAACCATTTCAATCAGTGTACATTCAACTGGAAAGGAAAGTTAGAGGACTTTTTTTGAAAGTAATGGGATTGGGGTTGGCCGTTGCTAATTTCTTTTTGATTAAAGCGTATGTAATTGTTTTGTGTTGGATAAAAATTTGACTTTTTATTTGCGCGGATGCTGCTGATCTTATATGTTATCATTTCCCATTCAGACTTGAGCTGTTTACCTGCCGGGTTTTCTGTTCATAAAATGTTGAAAGGACGTTAAAATGTAGAACTTTTACATTTTTTATTTAGGTGACTAGGACAAATTCTGGTAATTTGTAGGCTACAACTTAAATGTATTTCTGCTTAAAATATTTTGAAATATGGTTTATTTCACAAATGAGGTTCCAAACTATAACCAGCTCTCACTAAATTCTTATTTATTTATTTATTTATTTATTTATTTTGAGACGGAGTCTTTCTCTGTCACCCAGGCTGGAGGGCAGTGGCCGGATCTCGGCTCACCGCAAGCTCCGCCTCCCGGGTTCACGCCATCCTCCTGCCCCAGCCTCCTGAGTAGCTGGGACTACAGGCGCCCGCCACCACGCCCAGCTCATTTTTTGTATTTTTAGTAGAGATGGGGTTTCCCCGTGTTAGCCAGGATGGTCTGGATCTCCTGACCTCGTGATCCGCCCGCCTCGGCCTCCCAAAGTGCTGGGATTACAGGCGTGAGCCACCGCGCCCAGCCAAAAGATCATTTTTAAATTATGTATCTGGGAATATATTATCAAACCAGGCCTGAAACTTATTAAAAAGATGGTAAAATCTAATTTAACTTCATTTAATACTCCTTTTCTCTTAGTCTTATAAAAGCAAATGAGCTTGTTGGCTTTTCATTATGAAAATATAATTTTAATTTATAAGACATATGTAACAAAGCAAGATAGCTGCTAAATTCACTCTATCCTAGTAACTTCCTATTGCATACATTCATTTTTAATGTAATAAGAAAATCCTTTCAAAATGCTTAAAAGAATCACATTACCCAAGAAGAGGCTCAACATTTCTAGAAAATAAATATGTTCTTAAGACACTTAATAATTCTTGAAATGAAGACCTAATTCTTCAGGGCTTTAAAATATTTGATGTGCACTCTTTACATATATAGAGAGTTTAAATTTAATAATTTCCCTTCTTAAAAAAGAAGTGAAACATACCACAAACATATCAAAGCAAGTTATTCATACTTCTCATTTAAGTAACTGTATTGTCATAGCAAAATTATTTTATATCATCAAACAGCACAAAAGCCTTATTAGAATACTAATTTCAATGTCTGTTTCACAGATTTGCTCAGAATAGATTTTTTCATGCTTCTGCACTAATTCATTGAAGGACAATGTTTTACCGATTCCTGAAAAAATATCATTATCTGCCCCATAGTGGTGGCTCATGCCTGTAATCCTAACACTTTGGGAGGCCGAGGCTGGCAGATTGCTTGAGCCCAGGAGTTCAAGACCAGCCTGGGCAACATGGTGAAAACTCATCTCTACCAAAAAAAAAAAAAAAAAAGTAAAAAGTTAGCCGGGCAAGGTGGCGGGCACCTGTAGTCCTAGCAACTGAGGAGGCTGAGGTAGGAGGATCACCTGGGCCTGGGAGGTTGAGGTTGTGGTGAGCCATGATTATGCCACTGCATTCCAGCAGTGGGTGACATAGTGAGATCTTGTATCAATAATAATAAGATAAAATAGAAAATAAAAATATCATTAACTGACATTTTAAAAAGTATATTTCCCAATGGATAAATATACTTTGTGGATTAACAAGAGAAAAATTTCAAGATACTGTAAATTTAAAACAAATCTTTATGTATAATACCATCGTAATGTCTTTGACCAGGAGCAATCTATCATGTGAGATAAAAAATATTAAATATGCATTTATTGAATAAATGAATGAAAATCATGATTACCTTGATCACTATATTTAAAATTTAAATGAAGCAGGAAAGTAAATCTTCCTAATTATCATATACTTAACATAACTGTTTAAAATCACTCTAATAACAAGTAATATGTTAATTTTGAATTATAATTTTAAAATGCCTGTATTGTTTCATTCACTCATCCTTCCATTAGTTCAGTGAACAAATATTGATTACTTACCCACTATGTGCCAGGTATCATCATAGATTCAGGGAGTACAAAAATGGTTAAACGAAGGGATCAGCTGGAGTGACCGTTTTCTAGAAACAATGCCTATTTCAGTTATGAACTAGTCTGTTTTGAAGAAAGTGGTGAGGGAAAGCTGAAAATCCTATTTTCACTTTATTCAACAAATCTTATTGAGGTCTTATTATGAATCAGGGGCTCTCCTAGGTATGGGCATACAAAATTGATTAAGACTGTGCTTGCTTGCAGAAAACAAACAAAAAAGCATCTCTATAATAAAAAGGAAAAAGAGGAAATTCCCTTTGTAGGTTTCATAGTTTATAGTGATACTGCTGATGTTGTCTCAGAGAATTAGTCACAATTATAGGAACTCAGAAGGCATTCCGTTGAGATGAAATAGAGACTAAAGTAGCAGAGATTACTTAGTGAAATAACAATTCGAACATAGTTATAATTCATTTTAGAAGATATTATGGCTCACACATAGTAGATGTGATGACTGAATAACAGGAATGTGGAACGATGGCACCTTGGTAGCCATTACCCATTGCCAACATGATTCTGCATTAAAAAATCTGTGCAAAACGGCCGGGCACGGTGGCTCACGCCTGTAATCCTAGCACTTTGGGAGGCCGAGGAGGGCGGATCACGAGGTCGGGAGATGGAGACCATCCTGGCTAACACGGTGAAACCCCGTAACTACTAAAAATACAAAAAATTAGCTGGGCATGGTGGCACGCGCCTGTAGTCCCAGCTACTCGGGAGGCTGAGGCAGGAGAATCGCTTGAACCTGGGAGGTGGAGGTTGCAGTAAGCTGAGATCGCGCCACTGCACTCCAGCCTGGGCGACAGAGTGAGACTCCATTTCAAAAAAAAAAAAAAAAAAAGAACACAACTTTGGAGTATATTAATAAACATTGTGTTTTTTAAAAAAAAAATTTTAATCTTTAATTTCCGTTTTCACATATTTCTTCTTGCTTCCAAAAGGAAAGGAGTGGGTAGCTCTGTTGTACACCGTCCACGGCCCCTGGATCCGGGCGGGGTCCCCCGGGCCACCTGGGGGTCCACATGCAGCCCCCGGGAGGCCGGTGCGGGGTGAGGTCCGGGGGCCGCCTTATTGCTGAAGTCCGGCCGGTTGGGGCCCCGGCGGCCGCTAGGCGCTCTGGCTGCGCAGCTCCTGGGAGATGAAGCGGCGCAGGCGCTCCAGGTACTGGCTGTAGAGCTGGATGTCTTTGTGCCCGGCGCCCTCCACCCACAGCGGCTCCACGGCCTTGGGGCAGCGCTCCTAGAGCGCCAGCCCCTGCGAGAAGTCGATCACCTCGTCTTTCGTGCCGTGGATAATGAGCACGGGCGACGTGATCTTGGACACCTTCTGGATTCTGCGGGAGGGGCGTGGGGCGGGTGAGACCTCTCCGGGCCCGGGCCCCGCCCCGCCCCAGTCCCCGACCCAGTCCCCGTCCCCGCCCCTGTCCCTGCCCCAGCCTGCTCACTTGGGGAAGGCGTCGAAGCAGTAGGTCTTCTTGGTGTCGGGAAGGCGACGCTCAGGTCCAAGGTGAGCGGCGAGTGCAGCACCACCGCGGCGGACTCGTAGCGCGAGGCCAGGTCCACGGTGGGCACCGTGCCGATGCTCTGCCGGTACAGGATGATGCTGTCCGGGCTGATGCGGTACCTGGCGGCACCGGAGCAGGGTCAGCCGCGGCCTCCGACTCGCGCGCACCCCTCCCGCCAGCGGGCGTCCCCGGGCCCAGCTCCAGATGCGACTCTCCAGTCTCCCGGCTCAGCCTAGTCAGTGGGTCAGGCCCAGGCTCCACAGCAGTCCCAAGGGCCACCCCCAGTCCCCCAAGACCGCAGCGGTGGGCGGAGCCGGCGGCGTGGTCCTGTTCCCTGGCGCTATGGTTCACTGGCGTTTCCTAGCCAGGATCTGCTGGATCCTGGCTAGGGAGTCCCCCTCGGGCTAGGGTAGGGGAAGCCCTGGCGCCTCTCCTTCTCCTGGTCATCCCTGGGCGCACACTGGGAACTGTGTGCCCCCCCACATCCTGAATGCTTCATGCCTTCCTGCCCAGGTTAGAAAGCCGTTCCTGGTGCACTGGCCGGAACAGGGTACACTCTTCCTCCCTGCAGCCCTTGCCCACCCCCTTGGCCATGAGGAATTCAGGCAGCTGTGTCCCCACATGTCTCCACCCAATTTTGGACTCTCGGAGTCCCATGCTCAATGAGGTGCCAGCCCAACCCAGGTCAACATCGAGGGTGGCGGCTGCGGGGGCAGCACCTCCTCCCACCAGCGCCTTCCCTTGGGAGTGGACAAGTCCTCGGCCACCTCAGCACCACCAGCTCCCACCCAGGGCCACCCCCACCGCCAGGTCACTGGTGTGCGGCCCCTGGCCCAGCTGGTCCAGCACCAGTACCAAGGCCTCCTCGTGCCCAGTCCCAACCACGCGGGACCCACCTGCCACCCTGTCGATGCCGCAACCCCAGAACTCTCCTCCCACACGCTCCAGGCTCTGATCCCAGGCAGATGCCCTCCTGCGAGGCAGGAGCATGGGCAGGTGTGCGTCCCATCTGCCTGGCATTCGGACTCCACCAGCAGGGCTGTACCCCTCCTTGGCCTGGAATCCCAGCCTCCTGGCAGCACTCCACAGCTCACTGTTCACCCATGCCCCAAAGGATGCTGCCTGGCTGGTGCCTGTGGCCCCAGCTCTGCCTCAGCCTCCTTGGCCTGCTCCCTGGCAGCCAAGGCCAGTAGTGTGCTGAGCCAGCCCAGCCCTGTCACCTGCTCCAGGCAGGACCCCCAGCTGCCACCTGGATGTCACCACTCAGACAATCAAACAAGACACATCCTCAGTGGAGGCCCTGAGCGCGATCTGGCCTCCCCCTCATGGCTCTGGGCCGAGGTTCCTGCAGGACAAAGCAGCAGCAGGACAGATGGCCGAGCAGACAGAGCTCAGAGCTGGCCATGGCGGGTGTGACTCTGCCAGTGCCCTGGGCAGTAGAGACAGGAGGGGTCCGAGGAAGCTGCATGAAGTGGTGCTTGGTTTCTGCGCCCACACTGCCAGGAGGCCCCCAGAGCCAGGGTGGTGCCAGGGGACCCAGCTCCCAGGCCCACAGAAGGGACTGCCTGGGATATCGCCAAGGCATCGAGGACCCCACCTCCCCAGGGCCTCTGACTTCTCAGAGCTGCGCCTGGCCCCTGCAGGAGCGGGGCAGACCAGTGGGGGGCAGGGCCAGGACGAGACAGCCCCAGCGGGTGGCAAGCAGGAAAGGCCTCCAGAGGCCCACGCGGGTCTTCTGATCCAGAGCAGCACTGGCCCGGGCGGTGGGCGGTGCTCAAACACCAGTGAAGGGCCCAGGAAAGTGCAGGGCTGGGGACCTGGATGTTTAGGAGGGCTGGATCTGGAATGGAGGCTGGCCCAGACCTCAGGTGTGTGCTGGGGGTCTGCACCTGACCCAGCAGGCCCTGCCCCGGGATGGCCGAGCTCCACAGCCACAGGGCCTCATGGGCCAGGCCTCGGGACCTCGATGCAGCAGCCTCGCCTCACCTGGCCCCAAGTGCTGCCTCGGCCATTGGGCTCCCAGCCACACGTGCACAGACCCCCCCCCAGACACCACCCACCCCCTCCCGCCGGGTGGCGTCCACGCCCCTGTGACAAGCTCAGCCCCTTCCTGTCCTCAGGCCAGGGGATCCCAGAGAGCCTGGCTCCACAGGCCAGGGTGTGGGGGGACCTGGCCACACCTCAGCCATGTGGAGGCGGCACCCGCACGCCTGAGCTCACCTTTCCGGCTCTCTGGCCGCATGCGTCCACTGTGGCTCCTCTCCTGCAGGGCCGCCCACCTTCCTCCCAGGGAAGCCCGCCCCTCCCCCCGGCCCCCGGCCTGGTCCCCTCTCCGGTGTGCCCAGGCTGAGCTGCCCCCGGGGTCGCCCTCACCTGGTGCGCAGGGCCTGCCGGGCGGCGTCGATGTCGGCGTAGAGGTTCGTCTCGGAGGGCCTGCCCGAGCTGGCACCGTAGCCGGAGTAGTCGTAGGAGAAGATGTTGCAGTGGAGGCGGGAACACAGGCCAATGTAGAAGCTGCTCATCTGGCCCAGGTCCACGCGTTGCCTTCCTTGTTCATGCACCGCTGGTCAGACGCAATTCAGCTGATGTAGGCTGGGCTTGGCTAGCATTGGCTTGAAGCTGCAGCTGGTGTCCAGATCTGTTCCATGTATTTGTGATCCTCCTCAGCCCTCCCGGGTACTTGAAGCATGTTATTGTTGTGGCCAAAGTCAGGAGTGCAACCTGCCTGTGCAAAAACATGCCAGGCTTCTGTTGCCTTAAATCCTCTAAGATACCCCTTTGGCTTAAGCAGAGTCACACAGCAAGGATCAAAGTCAAGGAGTGGGGAATTATATCTGTCCCTTAGAGATGGAGATAGGAGAGAGTGTGAACAAATGCAGGAAAATGATCTCATCTACCAGAGTGTCCTTAAAGATTTTAACATAATAAATTCAGTATTGTTTTTGTTTGTTTGAATGAAGCTTTGCATGGACACAGTACAGTACAAAAGTACTATTTGAACTCTTTCTCCACATTCATAAAATTGCTACATAGTTTCTACCATGATTATATTTTTATGATCCATTTTTGTGTACAGATCTGAAAACTTTATACTAGAATTTATTAGCTGAGGAAAGGAACATGCACTGACATCATCATACACAAATATTTCTCAACATTTTAATGCTTGTGGTATTGTTAATGTTTCTGTGGAAAATTACTTAAAATCATAGAAGTGATTTCTAAGTCAGTTATTGATTTATTCTGATGAATTATAAAAATCAGACTAAATTAGTAATAGAGAAATTACACTTGAAATACTAGTCTGAGCTACAAATGAGATGGATTTTTGTGCTCATCATTTGTACTCTAGTTATGTTTGTTGAGATTGGGTTATGAAAACATCATTATAACATTATCAGCAGAAAAGCCTGTTGTGCTATAATTAAATCATCTAAACAATCATTTTTGTGGTCTTAATATCCTGGATTTCTCAATTGATTGTAGTAGATAAGAGTTCTCTTTAAATACTACTTATTATCGGTAGCTTGCTTTTCTGTGAAATCTAGAAAATTTAGAATTCTGCATTAACATTTAATAAAATACCTGCTATCCTAATATTGATGCATTATATTTATCTATACAACATGCAACAGGAGAGAAATATCAGATGAATTAGAATATTTGCAGCCTATGGCAATTATCTGTAGCCACATTTTTTTTTGTCTTCAGAAAAATGTAGATGATTTTGGAAATGGATTAGTTCTAGTCTCAATCTAGGAAGAATTACTTATGGAAGTTTTGTGTACAGGATACTGATGTTTTCAAATATAACGCATTATTATTTTAGTTTAGTTTCTTTTGCCACATACTTAGAAATTGTTCAAGTGAACAGGCTATTAAAACGAATGGTATAGATAAATGGTATAGATAGGCATTGTAAACATCCCACTTTTCCCAAGCCATGAATTTTAACACTGGATTAAGGAGATGAAAATGGAGCCATTGGGAATGTGGATTCTTTGCTAATAATTATTTTTCTTCTTTAAAAAGATTCTTCAAAAGGCAAGAACATGGAAGTATTTCAGGAGATATTCTTGAGGTATCTAAAATACATACTCTTCCTATCAAAATCAATAAATAGATGGATGTAAGTAAGATAAAGTCAGGGCAACTGATTTTGCATGTGAGTGTACACACAGACACATATCCAGGTTTTCTCCATCTGTTCTCAGTTGCTGAATTATTAGACTCAGCTGACCGCTTGACTGTGTTTAATCTGATAAACAGACTCTTAACAAGAAGAACAATGTTTTAAAAACTGGACTGTTCCTCCTACTTCTCAGCATGCATCAGCCACTCTCTTTCCCCATCCTATCTCCTGCCAAATTGGTCTCTACTTATCTGTTCCACTTGGAGACACTATTTGATGTTGTTGTAAATGACATAAATGAATATTCACTCTACCTGCTTTCATATTAATTCAGTTTTCATAGGATGGTCTCTGTGGGATCAAGCAAAAGGACTTAGTGGAATATCTCTTATGACTCCATAAAGTAAAGAATGTGGTGAGTTTAGCAGAGTGCACCTTCCTTTACTAAATGTGAATGATGTGTCAGTATAGGGGGCCAGAGTGAAAAGTCCTAACATATGCTTGTTTGGGCAGCCAACAATTGGTCACATTGCACATTTCATGTTACAAAGGAGCCTCATGGTAGTATAAATGAGGGTCAGGAAAAGACACTTAACTGTGCTCTGGGCTTTAAAATGGAGCCAGGGCAAGAATTCTGGAATTTGACAATGTCAGGAAGGAAACCTCTGTAAGCAGGCACGCAGGGGACTCCAGAAATCTCTTCTTTGCCACTACAACTCTGGACTTTCAGAAATACACACCCCATTCTCCTGTATTAATACACACTTCATGTTCACAACATCAAAAACCAATTTTAAAATAGTAAACCTAAGGTAGATGGAAAGGCATTATAGCCTCAGCATGCCCGAGATGTGAGGAGCAAATCAGAAAGATGTGAGTGTGACGAGAAAGGGACATCGTGCTAACCAATCATTTAAAATTTTTACTCCAAAGAAATGGCAATATTTCACAGGTTTTTTCTCATCACCAATCTCACAAATATACATGTTTTTTGAAAATTTTCCTCTCAATTCTTCTCCTTGACAGTGAAGTCCAGAAGAGGTTGGTTTAGATCTAACTCTTTTCAGCCTCAATACTCCATAATCACTTTGGCTTTTTTGATTATGACTGGACGGCATGTACTATTATTTTAATATTAAATATTTAGGAAATAATTTTAAATGTTATCCTTAAATAACTATGGGCTTTATTCATTTACTGTATGTATTTCTCAAACATTCATAAGAACTTAAGGATTTTAATTCAAATGGTCCCTAAAGTAGAAAATGCACTCACAGATTCTGCATATGTCTTTTAAGAAACAGAAACGTGCCATTTGTTATTAAATTGAGTAGACTTTGTATCCTTTAGAATTTGGGCAGAGTTTTCTTGCTATATTGTAGAGAACCTATCAACCATATCTTAATTTTCTTCTTTTTGAGGTCTTCAAAATTAACATTGGCATTGGTCCACTAATTCCTTGTTTTCTATTTTTGGATGAGTGTGCATAGATTACCTCCATCTTAATTTTCAACATAAACTTTTAGCAGACTCTTTCACCTTTCATTGCCATGTAAGCAGATGTGATTTTTATTCTTTTTTCCTTTTCATTGAACAGTTACTTCATTTGAAATTTTTCACTTGATTTAATTTAACTTTATTTTTTGGTGGTAGATACATCTGTTGCCACCTGTGTCTGGTTGGCATTTTAATGTGTTGCCTCGAAGCTGTAACCACAATAGTGGCACATTTTCCTGCTGTTCCTTTATTCTTTGTTCCATGTGTATCTATTTTCAATAAATTGCATTGGTATATTATCATAGATTTTCTTTTTGTCTCTCAGATTTTCTGTTGTAATTATTTTTATTTATGCCTTTGGAAATATTTTATGATTGTTACATAAAACAGCAGAGCTCTTTCAGAAAGTTTTCATGGTTTTCCAAATGTACATTCATATAGATTATTTAGTAGTTATTACACAATGATCTTTGGAGCAATAAATGCTGTTACGTAAGAACAATTCCCAAATGTAATTTGAGTTATAAGCTAGCCTTTGATGGCCTAGAATTGATGTACCTTTATAATTCTAATCTGCATGCAAATTTAAGAAGACCAAGGATTGAGGATTGGGTGCATAATTTTCAGGGCCCAGTAAAAAGTGAAAATGTAGAACCCTTTGATAAAAACTTACAAAGAATTTCAAGATGACCATAATAGGCCATGCACAAGGCCTTTGTAGATGGGTAGAGTGACCATGAAGCCATGGGCATTGTTTGGTTTTGTTTAATCTTACTGTTTGGTTGTAAAGCAGATTTTTAAATCAAGAGAAAAAAGAACACCAAAGAAGATCTCTGTCAAAATGTTTGAAGCATTATAGAAGATTAGATCCATATAAATGAAAGGGATAAAGAAAAAGCACATATCCAACCTCAAATATAAAGCATGGAATTCTCATATGAACTCCATTATAGCACTTGATATTTCAGCTCTATTTTCATTTTTGAACAACTCTAGATATATCTATATATTTTAGTCTAAAATTTAATTTTTATAAATTGTAAGTACTTCCCCAAATTCTACCTTAGATAAACAATTCAGAGATAACTCTGTTTCCTATTCTATTAGGTGGAACCATATGAAATTGTCAGTATTCAGCCTTTTTTGTCCTACAAAAAAATGACAGTTTTGTGTTTCCACCTAACACATGGCAGCCCAATAAATATGTGAAGGTCAGGACCACAGAGCTACCACACTAAACAATACTAAATGCATACACATACCCTTTCCAAAACCCGGCAGGTCTTCTTTTCCCCAAGTGAAACATTCTTTGACTCTTCACCCATTATTCATGTGAGAAATTTTCCAGGCACTTCAACATGTCAGCTCAGTGACTGTAACAATTAGGTTTATTAATTCTCCTCTCACAATTTGACATTCTTTATTGAAAAGCATGATTTAAATGTTGACTAATAGTCTGCATAGTGAAACATTTTTACTAGTTCCAATGACCTAAAACAGTGTAAACCATGATTCAGAAATTTATTTTCTTAAAAACTTCTAAACAAAATGTCTGCTAGGATAAACCGGTGCAATTTCTATGTGAAACCTAAGAATTTCAATGACACATTTTCATCCTTATTGCCATCAAATAATCCCTTTAATAGTGCCCCATCTTTCTTACTCCTTCATATGATTTTCTATATTATTATTTTCCATCACTCATTCTGTTAAAACTATAATAGTTTCTTCAGAGAAATGACAGATTTTCCCACTTCAGAGGCATTTCTGCATTGAGCTCTCATAAACCTCTCTAACATGGTGGGCAATAGACTCAATAACATTTGTGTATAAACTCAGTTGTGAATTACAAAAGGCTCATCTATAACGTCAAAAAGCAACTCGGTAAAAACAATTCTATTGAAGATAGTATGATCTAAATATATAATTTTAGGATGGCTTCAACTGAGACAAAAATAGCATCGATACAGTGTGGAGCAATGAATTTCTAAAATTTTTATCAGCTTAACATTTTTCATCAGCACAATTTATACAGAAGCCCAACATGAGACATTCTTGTTCACATGGAATTTCTCTGCCCGCTGGAGCCCTGTAGAAATCCCACTGTGTTGGTAAACAGCAGTAGCAACAAGAAGATACTAAACTGGAATTCTCAGTGGCTCAACCAAACCAAAGTTTGTTGGTTGCTCCCATAAAGTTCAATGTCAGTCAGAATAAACTCCTCTAGCCTTAACCTATGACACACATGGCACATAACCTTCCAAGTACTGGCAGTGGAAAAGGAGAGAACTTGGGAATGAGGCAGGGGCTTCATGGTGAACATGGTGAAACCTCATCTTTACCAAAAATACAAAAATTAGGTGGGTGTGGTGGAGTGTGCCTGTAGTCCCAGCTACTCAGGAGGCTGAGGTAGAAGGATCGCTTGGGCCTGGGAGGTCAAGGCTGCAGTGAACCAAGGTGGTGCCACTGCACTCCAGCCTGGGTAACAGAGTGAGATCCTGTCTCAAAAAAAAAAAAAATTGTGAAGGTGAAATTTAAATACCTTTGTGCATAGCTATCAGTTATTCTTTGTTTTAATATTTAGTTTATTGTGAAATATAACACGTATAGAAACATACATAAAACAACACACAGGGCCAGGCCCGGTGGGTCACGCCTTGTAATCCCAGCACTTTGGGAGGCCGAGGCGGGCGGATTACTTGAGGTGAGGAGTTTGAGACCAGCCTGGCCAACATGGTGAAACCCCATCTCTACTAAAAATACAAAAATTAGTCGGATGTGGTGGTGCATGCCTGTAATCCCAGCTACTTGGGAGGCTGAGGCAGGAGAATCGCTTGAACCAGGGAGGCAGAAGTTACAGTGAACCAAGATCGCGCTACTGCACTCCAGCCTGGGCAACGGAGTCAGACTGTGTCTAAAAAAAAAAAAAAAAAAAAATAGGCCGGGTGTGGTGGCTCACGCCTGTAATCCCAGAACTTTGGGAGGCCGAGGCGGGCAGATCACTTGAGGTCAGGAGTTCGAGACCAGCCTGACCAACATGGAGAAACCCCATCCCTACTAAAAGTACAAAATTAGCTGGGCGTGGTGTTGCATGACTGAAATCCCAGCCACTTTGGAGGCTGAGGCAGGGGAATCACTTGAATCTGGGAGGTAGAGGTTGTTTTGAGCTGAGATCACGCCATTGTACTCCAGCCTGGGCAACAAGAGCAAAACTCCGTCTCAAACAAACAAAAAACAAAACAAAAACAAAAAACACAGTGTAACATGTTATTATGAAGTCACTGCTCAGGGACCAACTTGGCCGCTCCTGTGCCTCTAGAGGGAAGCTCCTTCCCACTGTTCTTTAGAGTTTTATATGTTAAGTACAGGAGTCAACAAACTAGGCCTATGCACCACATCTGGCACCCAGCCTTTATTTATTTTTTGAGATGGCGTCTCACTCTGTCATCCTGGCTGCAGTGTGGTAGCACAATCTCGGCTCACTGCAACCTCCGCCTCCCAGATTCAGGCAATTCTCCTGCCTCAGCCTCCTGAGTAGCTGGGATTACAGGTGTGTGCCACCACACCCGGCTAATTTTTATATTTTTGGTAGAGACGGGGTTTCAACATGTTGGTCAGTCTGGTCTCGAACTCCTGACGTCAGGTGATCCGCCTGCGTTGCCCTCTCAAAGTGCTGGGATTACAGGCATGAGGCATGATGCCTGACCCAGCCTTTTCTAAAATGAAGGTTTCGGCTGGCGCGGTGGCTCATGTCTGTAATCCCAGCACTTTGGGAGGCCAAGGCAGGTGGATCACCTGAGGTCAGTAGTTGGGGACCACCCTGGCCAACATGGTGAAACCCCGTCTGTATCAAAATACAAAAATTAGCTGGGCGTGATGGCAGGCACATGTAATGCCAGCTACTCGGGAGCCTGAGGCACGACAATCACTTGAACCCGGGAGGCGGAGGTTGCAGTGAGCCAAGATCACACGATTGCACTCCAGCCTGGGCAACGAGCGAAACTCCATCTCAAAATACAATAATAAAAAAAAGGATGTCCTTTTTTGTCTCTCAACCCCGTTTTTTATTTTTTTTTATTTTCAGACAGGGTCTCACTCTGTTGCCCAGGGTGGAGTGCAGGGGCCCGATCTTAGCTCACTGCGGCCTCAACTTCCCCAGCTCACAGGATCCTCCCACCTCAGCCTCCCAAACAGCTGGGACCACAGGTGGGTACCAGAAGTTATTAGGATAGAGTGAATTTAGCAGCTATCTTGCTTTGTTACATATGTCTTATAAATTAAAATTATATTTTCATAATGAAAAGCCAACAAGCTCATTTGCTTTTATAAGACTAAGAGAAAAGGAGTATTAAATGAAGTTAAATTAGATTTTACCATCTTTTTAATAAGTTTCAGGCCTGGTTTGATAATATATTCCCAGATACATAATTTAAAAATGATCTTTTGGCTGGGCGCGGTGGCTCACGCCTGTAATCCCAGCACTTTGGGAGGCCGAGGCGGGCGGATCACGAGGTCAGGAGATCCAGACCATCCTGGCTAACACGGGGAAACCCCATCTCTACTAAAAATACAAAAAATGAGCTGGGCGTGGTGGCGGGCGCCTGTAGTCCCAGCTACTCAGGAGGCTGGGGCAGGAGGATGGCGTGAACCCGGGAGGCGGAGCTTGCGGTGAGCCGAGATCCGGCCACTGCCCTCCAGCCTGGGTGACAGAGAAAGACTCCGTCTCAAAATAAATAAATAAATAAATAAATAAATAAGAATTTAGTGAGAGCTGGTTATAGTTTGGAACCTCATTTGTGAAATAAACCATATTTCAAAATATTTTAAGCAGAAATACATTTAAGTTGTAGCCTACAAATTACCAGAATTTGTCCTAGTCACCTAAATAAAAAATGTAAAAGTTCTACATTTTAACGTCCTTTCAACATTTTATGAACAGAAAACCCGGCAGGTAAACAGCTCAAGTCTGAATGGGAAATGATAACATATAAGATCAGCAGCATCCGCGCAAATAAAAAGTCAAATTTTTATCCAACACAAAACAATTACATACGCTTTAATCAAAAAGAAATTAGCAACGGCCAACCCCAATCCCATTACTTTCAAAAAAAGTCCTCTAACTTTCCTTTCCAGTTGAATGTACACTGATTGAAATGGTTGTTTTATGCGGACAATTGATTTTTTTAAATGAAATGTCTAATAGGGAAGTCAGTACATTACACTACCCATTCCAGAAAGCAGCCTTCCATTGAATTTACTCAAACTAATTGCTGAATTAGATGACCATGGAAAGTTACTGAGGGCATATCCAGCACTTTCTTCTGAACCAAAACTAAATCTGTTTTGGTCACTACTGCATTGCTATTCAAAATCAAGGACTGTTCATCTCTCTGGAATATTAGTATCGTAAGCCTGGGGAGGTGACAATATCATGTAATGGAGTTGTGGGGAAAGGAGTCAGAGTGTTGTGGCAACTCCCGGACCAAGGGAAAGAGTCTGTAGAAGTTCATAGAATCAGCTGACATGCTACGGTCAAAGAATTTGCAATTAGCAATTGACCAATCAATTTTGATTAACTCATTCTGTATGACTATCATAGGCTATTAAAAATAGGAAAGCGTGTTTCTAAAATGGGTTTCATAACAAGTGATTTAATGATAAAAGCTTGGACAGTTTTCAGAATTCAAAAATTCCGAGATACTAATATCTTTAAAAACTCCTGTCATTGTGTGTGTGTGTGTGTGTGTAAACACTACCTGTGTAATCATCTATTGAGATTTAAATTAGGACATTTTCTCAGTGTATCCCAGTTCTAAAGTTACTATTTATTATATTGCTATCCTAGGAACAGAGTGAGAAAAGGCAAAGAGGTAATTTAACACAGTCTTTTTCTGCTAAAATCAGAGTGTCTCTCATCTCTGCCTGAATCCAATACATTGTGATTACTGAAATACATATTATAGAATATCTACTTATTTTGTGGATTTAGGCAACGATTATGATTGTTGCTTTTCTCACATCTAAAAATCAAATTTATATTATACATGAAGACATTTTCTAAAGAACTTTTGGTCTGTATAAAAATGAATACTTAATAGAAACGTAATATTATTTTATGTTATTTGAATTGTTAAGTTTAAGAAAATAAAATGTTTTTAAATCTATTACTTTTAACAACACTGTAACATTTATTGGTTTTGGAATAAAATAGATCCAGAAAATTGCTGTGATATTACTTTTTATGTTTCTTATTGAAAGTAGGTCAATTAATTTCTAAGCAATGGGGCATTATAATTGTCAACTAACAGTGCTCAAGCAGTTAGGATTTTAACTGCTGACACTATTTTCTTTGAAAAATGATAGATGTCATTTAGTGTTTAAAGATAAATTGCTGCATAACAGTGACTTTTTTGCTGATAACTTTGCCATAAGCAAACATAACATGACCAAGAAGTTTCAAAGTGAGTTTTCTAGGCGAGCAAATCTAAATTAAAAAGGCTCTCATATTTCCTCAATCAGATATACTAACATCAACCAAGTGTTGTTTTCAATCTATAATATGAAAGGGCAATTGAGTCTGACTCAAACATCTGAAAAAGTTAATGTTAACACTTAGGAATATGTCTCCCTGTAGGAAAATTTTCACTGGCCGTGGGCTATACCACATTTATCACAGGTGATTTTCAAGGGGACAAATATTGCCCATTTCAGAAACAGGTTTGGAATGCAGGAAACTGCCAGAAAGTAACTGTGAGAGTTTGCACCATGGCTGACCTGGAGGAAGATGCCAGAGTCACAGATGGAAAAGGGAGGTGCATGACTCCCCTCTGTTGCCAAGGTTCCCATTCTCAATTCAGAAGGGTTTGCGGAGGGGGTGAAGGAACATTGAAGTTTCTGAGATATTCCTTAAGGACCAAGCTATAATTCACAGCTATCTATTTACATCAGATCTCAGCTTTTTTTTTTTTTTTTTTTTTTTTTTTTTTTGAGGAGGGTGCAGGAGGAGATGTGCGCAGAACATATATATACGGCTTGCCCTAAAGGATGAAATAAAATTGTGTATGCTATGACCTCTCTAGGAAGCCTCTAAACTTTTCTTATAAATTGTCTTCTAACTAAAATATTTCTTTTGGCCGTCCTTGGAGTACTCCCAGGTGACACACAGCTCGGGCTAACATTTCTACAGGACTGCTACCTTGATCTCTAGAGAGTCCAATGATGTTCCATACCAATATGTCTCAGCGTCACTGCCGAGCTTCCACCCACACCCTTAACACACAGAGAAAGCTGACACTTTCTGTTAGCTATAATTTTCCTTGAGAAAAACGTGGCAATATGTAGCAAAATACAATTATTAGTTTCAATATGTAGAACGTATTACAAGAAAAAAAAGATGCCAAAAACATCTTATGTCTACTGCTATTCCTATTAGTCTTTATTATCATGAAAAACTGGTCGCATCCTAAATATCCAACTTTCGGTGACTGGGTGAAGGAAAACTGTAATTTTTCCATATGATAGAATAGTATGCCAGCACTAACAACCAGAGAGCAGACTATTTAATGTCATGGTAAAGTATTTGTTTTGTGTGGTCAGGTGAGCAGTTCAGATCATAAAATCAAATGTACCCTATGATCTTATTTTTTGAAGTAAAGTACTGATGTATTTATATGTATAATTAAGTATAGAGAAAAGCCTAGATGGCTTCTCTTATAAGTCTTTTCATTGTTTTATAAATGGTATCAATATTTATTTTTCACTTTTTCCATCAGATTTCCTAGAATAATAAAATTCAATTCCCTCTGATGAGCATTCATTATTCTTTTTTTTTTTTTTTTTTTTTGAGACGGAGTCTCACTCTGTCTGCTAGAGCTAGAGTGCAGTGGCCTGCTCAGCTCACTGCAGCCTCCGCCTCCTGGGTCATTATTCTTACAGTAAGAAAAAATGAATGTTACTAAGTATCTTCTCTGTCCTAGATCAACTAGGTATATACAAGGTGCCAAATACATTTAATAAAATGTTTTATTCATTCATAGCTTTTTGCAGTACAATTTTTTTTGTATGATTCCCTTGTCCTATCATCTCCACCAATAGTTTTGGTGTGAATTTATACTCTAAAGGAAAGGTGACAACCTTATACAATCTCAGGGCTTAAATACTATCCACGTGCTGATGCTTACAAACATACACCTCCAGTTGTGTGGTCTCCCTGAGTTCTGCACATCCCTCTTGGGCATCTAACAAGCATCTCACAGTTAACAAAACCACTGATTTCTAATCAATCCCAGGGACCCTCCGCCAGGCCTGCTCCTCTCTCAGAATTCCTTTTCTCACTTAGTGACACTATCATCCCACCAAACCTCGCTATCATCTTTCTTCCGTCTCCCAAATTTCCAATCCATTAACAAATCCCAAAAACCCCGCTTCCAATATTTGTCTAAATCTATGCACTTCTCAGCTTATCCACTCTTATTATTCTAGCTCCAATTATGTGGCCTTCTGTCTGTGTTACTTTCTTTTTTCCATTCTTGTACGCAGGGTCCAGTTTTCATAGTGAAGTCCTCATAAAACATGTATTAAATTGTATCAGCTTCTGCTTACAGTTATTTATTTATTTATTAAATTTGTGATGTATTTTTATTTATTTATTTATTTTGAGAAGGAGTCTTGCTCTGTCATCCAGGCTGGAGTGCAGTGGCGCGATCTTGGCTCACTGCAGGCTCCGACTCCTGGGTTCAAGCGATTCTCCTTCCTCAGCCTCCTCAGTAGCTGGCATTACAGGCACGCTCCACCGTGCTCAGCTAATTTTTGTATTTTTAGAAGAGATGGGGTTTCACCATGTTGGCCAGGCTGGTCTCAAACTCCTGACTTAAGGTGATCCACCCACCTCAGCCTCCCAAAGTGCTGAGATTACAGGCATGAGCCACTGCGCGCAGCTAGTTTCTGCTTACAGTTTTAAAATGACTTCTTAGTCTATTTAGGAGAAAATATAAACTCTTTACCAGAGCCTACTGGACTCCCCAAAACATGATGTATGTTTATCTCCTCCCTTTAACTCACTCTGTTTTAGCCACCTGGCCTTCTGTTCTCTGAATAAAATAAACTTATTCCTGCCACAGGGCCTTTACACCTACTTTGCCTTCTGCCCCAGACACAGTTCTCACAGGTTTTCCCATGACTCCTTTCTTCTCCTTATTCAGCATCAACCCAAACATCTGCCCCTGAGTGGCCTTCACCAGCACACTCTTCTTAAATATCTTTCCTTACCTCACCTTGTTTGGTTTTGTGCATAACATGTGTCAGCTACAATACTGGTTTCATTGGTTTGTTTATTTACTTTTTTCTTACAATGGAAAGCCCATGAGAGCAGGGTTGTGTCTGCTTTATTCACAACTTTAACCTCAGTGCCTGTACAGAACCAGGACCGTACTAGAAACTCAGTGAGCATTTGTTGAGTATCTTGAACGAATTAATTATTAAAACATTAAAAAGTGACATTTTCCAAGTAAAAATCTTTATCTACTTCCTTAGTGACTCTAATTGCAGACAATGCAAGGTAGAAATGAGGTTCAGATCAATGGCAGGCCGAGAAAGGCATTTTTGGGTGAGTCCATGCAGGCAATGTTTGCTATTGTGGCTGATTTACTTCCATATACTTTAACACAGGTATGTCCCTATTGTGAGACACGGCATTTTTCATAGTATAAAGGTGGAAAGCGAACTTCATGTTATAATAAAAAATAAAGTAAATTTTATACAAACACTAAGAAGTGATCATCTAAATCTACAGTTTAGAATCTGAAACCTATTCCTATGTTGACATCTTCCATGGCCCTACTCCTTAATTAATAAATTCTGACTTACAGAAGGCTATTTTCTGAATCCTTTCATAGCTGACATTGTGGTGGGTGCTGTTAGCCATCCCTTGATACTGACAGCACAATGGCCATCCCTGCCAGGGCACGCGTACACCATCAGTAGTCAAAAGTTTGGCAAAGTAGGCCGGGCGCCGTGGCTCACGCCTGTAATCGGCACTTTGGGAGGCCGAGGCAGGTGGATCACCTGAGGTCGGGAGTTCGAGACCAGCCTGAGCAACATGGAGAAACCCTGTCTCTACTAAAAATACAAAAAAAATTAGCCGGGCTGTGGTGGCACGTGCCTGTAATCCCAGCTGCTCTGGAGGCTGAGGCAGGAGAATCTCTTGAATCCGGGAGGCGGAGGTTGCAGCGAGCCGAGATCGCGCCATTGCACTCCAGCCTGGGCAACAAGAGGGAAACTCTGTCTCAAAAAAAAAAAAAAAAAAAAAAAAAAAAAAAAAAAAATTGGCAAAGTAAAACACTTCTCTTCATCTCCAGGAGAGCAGTTCATGAAAGAGCATATTCTTAGATATTAAAGGTAAATTTTCAGTGACACCTGTGCAAGATATGACTTTCTGCTGTCCTCTATAAAAATCTACATTTCTATCATATAAATCTAGCAGATCTTAAAATGATAGACCTCAAAGGTAGCACTGCATTTGATATTCTCTTGCAACCCCAGAATGAAACTTAAGCATGAATAATTGGAGATCTGCACACTCCTATAAAGAATAAAGAATGGGACTCAAGTTCACACAGAAGCTAAAAAAGAAAGGCAGGATGACTTCCCTCTGCCACCTTGAAAAGGCTTTGAAACCTACGAAACAAGAAATGGGGAGGGGGGTTGCTGAATGGGTAATAAATATATGAGCCCTCCTCCTAAGGGTTTTTATAATCCTTTCTATCTTGGGTATCTATGTGTTCCTCTGTGAATGTGTTTTCTTATAACTGCACTTCTCATGGAACAGCTCTATCCTTATTATCTGTAACAGGGTTTCTGTTCTGCTTTCATCATGTATATATCTTAGAAAAACAATCTGAACAAATGTCCAGTTAATATGTATATTTATGTATTTATAAATTATATGTATATGCTATTGCACTAATACATTACATATTTTATATACCTTACTACAACCAAAGAAATATAAAAGAATGAGATGGAATAAATATATATTTAAGTTCTAGTTTTTCTTCCTCCATCCTCTGTGGAATGCTTACCCCACTTAAGAAACCCCTAAGATTTCACTGTGTCCTCACAGTGAGATTGTACTCACTCCTCAATGAGAGAACATTAATATTAAAGCTCTTTTGGTTTTATTATCAATTATGCGGTCGAATTTTCAAATAATCTAGCTGTACATATTATACTACAGTGGACGATACTGTGAGGTACCAACTGGACCAGCTCAGCAGAGGCTGGAAGGTTTAACTCATCAGTAGTCATGATACCACTTTTCTCTTAGACTTTTCCAGTAGAATTTATTTTTGGTTTTGCCAGCCAGGGTGAGAGCTGTTTTCTATAGGTATCAATGGTAGAATAAGCATTGTTGCCTCACAGAAGGGAGAAGTCTATGGTATTGGACACCAACCCCCAAGTCCTTCTTACATATCCTCTCCTTGAGAGATAGGGACTCGTGAAAAATGGAAACCCAGGAATTGGCTCTGCATAAACTTAAGCTTTGTCTTTGCAGAACAATTATGAGAAGCCTACTACTGACTCTGGAATATGTTGTATGCAATAAAAACTCTGTACTATTTAGGTATTGTTTCTGATGCACGATACTAGAAATAAGCATCAACTAGCCATGCAAAGTTCTGCTTAGGAAAAATGAAAGTATATTCAAATATAAATTTTTATAAAATGACTATTAACTAAAAAAAAAAATAGCCTTTCTTTCCCCAAACATCAATAGATGCAGAATGCAGAGTAATATTTACAACATGCAACATCATGTTTGGTTCTAATTAATAGACTATTTCAATGAAATATTATTTTGATAAATATGTTCATGCTTCATTTGTCATGTATTAAAAACAGCAATACACACTCACTTGATGAAAAATATTATTGAAGATAAAACAGAAGTATTTCATAAACAACCATTAGGTAGATTATAAGATAACATATAAAAGGTGATATAGGAAATAAATATTAGAAGTACATATTATTCATCTATGACCTAATTTGTATTGAAATGCTGCAAAAACCTTCATAGCAACATTCAGAGAATTACCTGAAAGAAAACTCTGGCATCTTCTATGGTCTTCTATGTGTTTTCTTTAATGGTCACAGTGATTCCCACGTTCAAACTTATTCACTGAAGACAATGCATGTCCTGAGATTCTCATTATTGAAATGCTGAGGCTGAGGCTTGCTTTTCACATATACAGATTGTCCAACATTAAAATACCACTGCATATTGACTGCATACAAAAATCATTAAACTAAATATTCCCAAAAGTCCTGATACAAATAATGTGTTACAATATTTTAGGCAGGATTACCTGATAGGGTTAACAAATTTATCAAGTATAACAGAAAGTGACCACTTATTATTTATTATTGGCTATACCAAAAAATATAGGATCAGGACTTACCTGAATAACATGCTTCAGTTTATCAATAATCTGATTTATCACAGGATCAGTTCCTTTGACTTTGACTTCAGGATTTCCAGACTGGGCTTTGATTCCATTTCCAACCACATGCTGAGTATAACTAGCAAAGGGAAATGTGAAAGATATATGACTTAGTACCTGATCAGAGTATTATCTGCCACAGCTATCTGAACATAGTTGAGGTCAGAATTTCCTCCTTTAGAGAATACACCAATGTATTTTTTTCTTGGAACAGAAACTGGCACAGCTATAATGCTTTTGCAGGTAAAATGCTAAAATGCTTATTGTGCCATTAGATCATTCTAAAAATAATGTTATTCTCTCAATGGACCCAACCAAAAATTACTTGTTTTTTAATACTACTTAACAATATGCTACAAAGAGTTGACATATCTCACTTTGTTACCAGTTCTTGCTGAATTATACATATGTCTGTACCCCTATTGTCTGGGTGAGCTTATTTTACGCAGTCCCAATCTTATTTTTTAAATATCAGGCTACTATATATGTGTGTGTGTGTGTGTGTATATATATATAGAATATGTATAGAGAATATATATAGGATACACATATAGAATATATATAGACTATATAGAATATACATATAGACTATATAGGATATATATAGAATATACATAGACTATATAGGATATATATAGAATATACATAGACTATATAGGATATATATAGAATATACATAGACTATATAGGATATATATAGAATATACATAGACTATATAGGATATATATAGAATATACATAGACTATATAGGATATATATAGAATATACATAGACTATATAGGATATATATAGAATATACATAGACTATATAGGATATATATAGAATATACATAGACTATATAGGATATATATAGAATATATATAGACTATATAAGATATATAGAGTATATAGACTATATATAGGATATAGATAGAATATATATAGACTATATACAGGATATCGATAGAATATATATAGACTATATATAGGATATAGATAGAATATATATAGACTATATATAGGATATAGATAGACTATATATAGGATATAGATAGAATATAGATAGACTATATATAGAATATATGTAGAATATAGATATAGAATATAGATATAGAATATATATGGAATATAGATATAGGATATATATAGATAGAATATAGATATACACACACATATATATTTCCTAATTAGGTCCTTCAAGAAATAAGTGATTAAACTTTTTAATAATGATAGTATCAATTGGACATGATAACAATAATATTATTAATAAACTCTTTGATTTTTAAAATAAACTTGAACCCATTTCTTTTCATAGTCATAGAGGGGCTTAGAGATAAGAATTTCAGTATCCATTAGGGATTTGCAGTATACACCAGTAACAAATAGTAGAAAGAAAACAGTTATATCTATTTTGTTAATGTGTAATGATATTCTTTACTTTAGAAAATAAAATTATATATAGTATAACTATATATAATATATAATATATATTATATGTAAAATATATATAACTGTACAAGTCAATATCATAAATTATAACTGTACAAATTAAAATCATCAAATTTATAAGCAACGAAAATGTGCGAAGTATTTCCTAAGTAGAGGAAACAATCTGCTTTCGCCTAGGTTCACCTAAACAAAGATCTGGTAAATCATGTGGTAGGTAAAAAGGGTCATTTCACAGGTGGTGAAAGCCATTTGAAATTTCACTACCTTCCCCAAATTACAATCATACGTCAACTTAGAATTAATAAAAATATTTAAATTCATTAGTCACAAAGATGTCTTAAGTGAATGCTATATTCCAAGTCCTGTACTAGGTCTTTAGGATTATAAGAAGGTGTAAGACTCAATTTTTGTCCTCATAATGCTCATTACTTAACCAAGAATATAACAGATTAATTAACTCATTCATTTGTATGCTTATTCATTACATTTTACTACATTTAAAAAATACCGTAGATTTCAGCCATATAAATACCCTTGTTTGCCTGACAGAAGAGTGTAATATAAACACAACTGAACCGTTAAAATACAACATTATGAAAGTAGATGGAAGGAACTGCACGTGCCACGTGTGAGGAAAGATAAGACAGGTGGTAGATATTCTGGATATAGAGAAGCCCATTTGAACTCAGACACTAGGGAAAAACTAAAGGAGAAGTTATAACTTGAGGTAGCCTTGGATGTATTGAGGTAAGAAGAGGACATCTATGGTATGGTTAATGAGAACTTCAGGGCAAAGGATGTCATCCCAGCAAGGAAAACGGCAAAGGTACGTGAACAAGGCAGACAGGGAGAACAGGCCTCTATTCACAAAGCAGAGAGTACAAACGTTGGAAAGCAATGGATAGAGGGCCACACCCTGAAGATTCCACCCTGAATGTTGAAGACTCTCCACTGAGTGATATAATGGGCTCTGGAAATTCATAAGGGGGAAGTTGGCAGGTGGGTGTGGAATAAAAAAGCTACATGTTTGGTACAATGTACACTACTCAGGTGACAGGTGCAATAAAATCTCAGACTTCACCACTATACAAATTATCCATGTTACCTAAACCACTTGTGCTCCAAAAGCTATTGAAGTAAGACATTTATTTATTTATTTATTTATTTATTTATTTATTTATGTTTATTTATTTATTTTTTTGAGACGGAGTCTGGCTCTGTCGCCCAGGCTGGAATGCAGTGGCGCAATCTCGGCTCACTGCAAGCTCCGCCTCCCGGGTTCACGCCATTCTCCTGCCTTAACCTCCCGAGTAGCTGGGACTACAGGCTCCCGCCAGTACGCCCGGCTAATTTTTGTATTTTTAGTAGAGACGGGGTTTCACTGTGTTAGCCAGGATGGTCTCGATCTCCTGACCTCATGATCCGCCCGCCTTGGCCTCCCAAAGTGCTGCGATTACACGCTTGAGCCACCGCGCCCGGCCAAGACATTTAAAAAATGAAAACAAAACACTATCACCTGAGTAATTTGTTTGCTTACATTAAATATCATAATACTTTTCAGCAAAAAATATTATCATTTTAATGTAACTTTCGTTCCCTGTATTTGAGCGGAGTACTGCACTATCCATAAACACCCTCTGAATTTTCTACAGTAATGGAAAAAAATCTTTGAAAAAAATAAAAGAAGGTTCTATGTTTGAGAATATGGCTATATGAAAGGGGTTTCAAGAAATATCCAGTTCTTCCCAAGACGATGTACTTCCAGTGACCAGTTTTAAGAAGTGGAACAGGCCAGGCGCGGTGGCTCATGCCTGTAATCCCAGCACTTTGGGAGTCCGAGGCGGGCAGATCACGAGGTCAGGAGATCGAGACCATCCTGGCTAACACGGTGAAACCCCGTCTCTACTAAAAATACAAAAAATTAGCCGGGCGTGGTGGCGGGCGCCTGTAGTCCCAGCTACTCGGGAGGCTGAGGCAGGAGAATGGCGTGAACCTGGGAGGCAGAGCTTGCAGTGAGCCGAGATCACCTCACTGCACTCCAGCCTAGGTGACAGAATGAGACTCTGTCTCAAAAAAAAAAAAAAACAAAAAAAGTGGATCGAATATTTCCTAACGAGGTCCTTCAAGTAATAATAAGTGATTAAACTTTTTGATAATGATAATATCAATTGGACATGATAAAAATACTATTAATAAATCTTTTGATTTAAAAACTAACCTTGTACCCACTTCTTTTGTAGGCGTGGGGGGAGCTTAGAGTTAAGTATTCCAGTATCCGTTAGGGATTTGGCAGTATACATCAATAACAAATAGTAGAAGGAAAATAATTATACCTGTGTCATATATATATATATATATATATATATATATATACACACACATAGAGAGAGAGAGAGAGAGAGAAACCATCTCTTAAATTACCTGTAGCACCACTATGTTATTCTTTACTCTCCCAATACCCCAAGTAGATTGCACATGTGACTCTTTTATTAATGTGTTGAATATTCATAATGATAATGAATAATATGAATAAATAAATTGATAAGTGCGTAACTATGAATTAGGCATTGCTTTACTCTTATCTGGAGATTTCAATTCATGATAAACATCTTTTAGTGACCATGAATAAGAAACTCATAGACCTGCATTAGAGAAATGCAAATCTAAACCACAATGAGATACCATCTCACTCCAGTTAGAATGGCAGTCCTTAAAAAGTCAGGAAACAACAGATGCTGGAGAGGTTGTGGAAAAACAGGAATGCTTTTACACTATTGGTGGGAGTGTAATTTACTTCAACCATTGTGGAAGACAGTGTGTGAATTCCTCAAGGATCTAGAACTAGAAATACCATTTGACCCAGCAATCCCATTACTGGGCATATACTCAAAAGATTATAAATCATTCTACGATAAAGACACATGCACACGTATGTTTATTGTGGCACTATTCACAATAGCAAAGACTTGGAACCAACCCAAATGTCCATCAGTGATAGACTGGATTAAGAAAATGTGGCACATATACACCATGGAATACTATGCAGCCATAAAAAAGGACATGAGTTCATGTCCTTTGCAGGGACATGCATGAAGCTGGAAGCCATCATTCTCAGCAAACTATCACAAGATCAGAGAACCAAACGCCGCATGTTCTCACTCATAAGCAGGAGTTGAACAATGAGAACACATGGACACAGGGAGGGGATCATCACACACTGGGGCCTGTGGGGTGTGGGGGTGTAGGGGAGGGATAACATTAGGAGAAATACCTAATGTAGGTGATGGGTTGATGGGTGCAGCAAACCACCATGGCATGTGTATACCTATGAAACAAAACTGCAAGTTCCGCACATGTAACCCAGAGCTTAAAGTATAATTTAAATAAATAAATAATAAATAAATAAATAAACTCATAGACCTCAAAGTATGGGAAGCCTAACTGCCTACGGCCACTTGCTGCTTCACTCTAAAATCTGTTTCTGCATCTGCCCCTCAGTCAATGACTGAGGCCCACAGGGTGGCTAATGCAGATCCCTCTTTAGGAGACACAGGGCTTCTCTGAGGACCAGTCTTGGCTCAGGATTCCCTGAAGCCTTTTCTCACCCTTCCTTAGACTGTACATTACGCTCCAGTGCTTCCACTCAACCTTCCTTTCCTCTTTCCTTCATTCTAGGTCAGACTTGCCTCATAGCTGAGACCTCTTCCAGGCTTACTCAGCTTCCTCTCCATTTTCTCTCACAGGGATTTCCCTTAATAAAATCCTCTTGTGTTTAACTCGTTTTCAACATCTACCTCTTGGAGGACCTGGACTAACCCACCACATAATGTTTGTATTATAATTACTTCCATTCTACAGGTTGAGAATCTGGGATCTGGAGAAGTTAAGCAACTTAAGTTACTCAAGTAAGGCCACACAACGTATATAAAGTGTGCTGCAAGGAGTTAAACCCAGGGAACGCACACTCCAAAACAGAACCATCAACAAGTACCAATCCTGAAACCAACTAATAAAAGGTAAAGATACAATTAGCTTGGTGCAAAATGTTATTTTTCTCTCTAATTACATTTTCTAAGGTTTCACTGTTTGTGATTAAGAAGGGATGAATGATTTTCATCAAAACTCTGCTCAACAAGCCGGGTGTCGTGGCATGCACCTGTAGTCCCAGCTACTGAGGAAGCAGAGGCAGGGGGATCACGTGAGCCCAGGAGGTTAAGGCTGCAGTGAGCTGTGATTACATCTCGTTGACCACGTGACCCTGAGTGTAACTCATAGACCTCAAGCCTGGGCAACAGAGCAAGACTCTGCCTTAAAAAGTAAAACTAAGCAAAACAAAACAATCCTGAACAAATGGTTGCACATAACCAGCTAAACAGTAATATAACAGTTGTTGGCAGGGTGAGAAGAAACTAGCAGACTGTAGGTTTGTCATACTGTTTTTTTGTTTCTCCAGAAACACAGATATAATATAGGCAATGAAAGCTGAGACTCATCTCTTAATTTCAGTTAAGCTATTAATTGATTTACATCATTTACTTACAGGTCAGAAAAGTTCCTTTCAAAAGGCAGGAATGTTGTTTCATGTTAATCTAAGGACTTGCTTACCTTTTGTTTCTGTTCTTAATGATCACAGTTACTAATACAGTTAAATAATATTTAGATAAAATACATTACAATTATAGCTGATCAAAAATCTCATTCCAAGCTGTTATATTGTTGACTATCTCATGATCACTCTTCTTATGAATCATGTAAATAGGGAAAAATACTGCAAAGTAGACCCACGTTACTTCAAATGAAATATGATTTAATAAAATCAGTTATTCTTTGCCAATTTTGTAATGTTCAAAATAACCACAATTGAAATAGTGATACATACACATCAGAACAGTTCAAATGAAAAAGAGAAATGATACCAAGTGTTGGCAAAGATGCGGAGCAACTAGAACTCTCTCCCATTGTGGATGGAAATGTAAACTGATGGACACCACCATTTTCCATGTATGCTAAATCTGACCATATTCTATGACCCTGAGCATATACCCAGCAATATTTACCAAAAGACAAATACATGAATGCTCAGAGAGGCACCATTCAAAATAACCACAAATTGAACTTATATTTGTATAATGATATAGTATATAGCAATGAGAACCTAACAAATTACAACTATATGCAAAAAGATTAACAAATCTTATAAACTAAATATTGAATGAAAGAAGCAAGATACAGAACATATTCTACGATCTAATTCACTAAAAATTGTAAAACTCATCAGTTATGTTCCAAATCACCATAAGAGCGATCCTATGAAATAGTGTCTAGAAGAAGTAATAATATAAAATTTCCTGACTTGAGTACTGGATACACAGAAGGGCTAAGTTTGTTTAAAAACAAAAGAAGTATTGAGCTGTACAGTTAAGATTTGGGTATTTTACTGTTTGTATGTATTTTCAGCGTTAGAAAATTATGTTAAAAAGTCTTTATGCTCTTTTTCTTAATATATTTACAATAGACAAATTTTCATTAAGCCACAGTATAAATAAAAAAGACCCACACAGGTATTTTTAACATGGATGAAGTGGTTCTGTCATCATTAAATGAGTACTTTAGGATGCAAGTCTGATATAAAAACTTACTTCCCTGAAGACTTTAATTTTGCATGCAAAATACACGGTTTCTAAATTAAATTTTTTTGTAACAAAGCGTTTTTGAGTTCCCCTCATGGAATTTTAATAAATCATTAATTTCTTCTTTTTCTCTTTCATGCACAAGCAGTGGATAAACATTTCAAAGATCCCTACAGAAGTTTCTTCCCTTGAAATACTGTTCACATGACAATGAGAAGGATGGAATAAAACACAAAAAAGGTAAGCAATTTTTTTTTTTTGAGGCGGAGTCTTGCTCTGTCGCCCAGGCTGGAGTGCAGTGGCGCGATCTCTGCTCACTGCAAGCTCCGCCTCCCGGGTTCCCGTCATTCTCCTGCCTCAGCCTTCGAAGTAGCTGGGACTACAGGCGTCCGCCACCGTGCCCAGCTAATTTTTTGTATTTTTAGTGGAGACGGGGTTTCACCGTGTTAGCCAGGATGGTCTCCATCTCCTGACCTTGTGATCTGCCCGCCTCCGTCTCCCAAAGTGCTGGGATTACAGGCTTGAGCCACTGCGCCCGGCCAACAGGCAAATTTTTCGTTGGGGAAGTAGTAGACCAACCATCTGTGCTTATTTCTTCTAAACAGAGCTGGGAATGAGTGACAGCAGTTGAACAGGAACACTTGCTCCCCAAGCACTACTTGTTTTTCATGAAGAAGGAAAAAAGGCAAAAGCCCTGCTACATTTACATTCGCAAAATTGTTTTCAAATGAGGATTAACAAGATGTTAGTTCCCTCTCTGTTGAACACATAAAATATTAAAAGGCAGTGCTAATACATCTATATACAGCACATCAGGAGGAAGGAGGAAGTCATTTCTCCTGACTTTACCAACTTGTCTTATTTGAAACTGATACCGTGCCCTATTGGCTGATAGGAGTTTCACTTTATTTAGAATACAATAGAATTTGGCTCAGATTCACACCAAAAGTATAGTATTTTGATGTGCACTTACACGATTTCAGGGGAAAACAATATCTGGAATGTGACCCTGGAATTCATTACAAGTCAGTTAAAGGGATCTCTCTTAGAATTTTTTCATAATTGGACTGGGACAGGATGTAAGAATAAATCATTAACAGTAGATGAGGAAAACACTTGACGAGAGCTTTCTCGTCTTACCATTACTGCTCTTTCTATCAGAGGTTAAAGACAGAATGGGGACCATGTTGTGGTTGTTATTCTTGTTGTTTGATTGGTTTGTTTATTATGTTCTTGCAGGACTTGGTTATGTGGCTGGATATGAAAATTCTTTCCATTTCCAGAGTCATAAATCTCCTAATTTCTAGGAGATTAAATACTGGTTTTATCTTTGGCTCCAGTAAAAATGTTGCTATCTTGGATTAAAAGAAGGTTGGGAAATACGTTGTGTCTATTCACCAGTGAATGGGAACCCCTTCTACAACAACAAATTTTCCATTCAAACCATTTCTAGGCCTCCCTTCCTGGTTCTGATAGCAAATGTGAAAGCAAGTACTAGAGATTTGGGTTTTGTAAGTTTCCTCAAATACTTGGGAAATACTGGATTCCGTTGCCAAGTGTTGCCTTTTGTACATTCAGCTTCTACACAGCACGTTTTCTCTATGTTGAAAGTCCTAATCCTTGAAATCTCAGAATGGAAAAGAGTTATATGACTAATTTTATGTGCCAGGATTATGGGAATAAACTTTCATGGAAGATAGGAAGCTTACAGGGCATTTAGAGAAAGGAGACATCTGTAGAATCAATTCAGAATGATTAAGCCCCTTGTGATCTCACTATCTCACTTCAATTGTTAAGCCACAAAACTCTTTTTAAGTTAATCTCTAACATTTATTTGGCTTTATAATTACATATAAATAATGTCTAAATTTGACACCTATGTTTCCAAACTTAATAATGAAGTCAAAATAAACAGAATTAAGGAGAGCTTATTACGATCTTTATTGTTATTTATATATAACAAATTTCCTATTGAGAATATAATATTTTATGATATCTTATGGATGTCATTAACATTGCTTTAATAAAGGTATTATCATGCTTTGTACAGCAACCAACACGAAAATGTTACTATACCACTGCAATAGATAGAATAAAAACATGTTCAGAAAGACTTAGAAACTCATTAAAGAATGGACGTTAATCACTTTTCACCCTAACTCCTCATTTGGCAAGGCATGAATCTATGCATTCCAGTTTAGACAGGTGGCAAGTAAGTAGTCTCATTGCATTTCATAAAATAAGCAGCTGCGTGAATTTGAAAGATACTATTTCCACATGAAAAGCTAATGACTGCACATGTAAAATCAGTAGTGTTTAGGAAGCTGTCATTTAAAAAACAACAAACTACCTAATTAAAAAGTAGCACAAATGAACTTTTGCCTACGTAAAAAATAGAACATTGCTTAGCCTTTTCTTAAACCCCTCCCCAATTCTTACCAAGAAAGGATAAATACCTTTATTATAGTCAAAGCTCTGTTTTTATGGTTTTTGAATTTTTTAATCTAAAATTCAAAGCAAATAATCAATCTTTAATTTATATTTATCCCAATTTGATTCGAAGTGACGGTCCAAAAGTAAAATGATCAATTATAACTATAATCAATCACAAATAATGCTATGTGAGTTTGAAATGTTAATCTAAGTTGCCTTTTCCAGGTATGCATTTTAAAATTAAACTCTTCTCAGTAAGATCAAGGCTATCCTTCATGGATTTATGATGTTTGATAATCACCACGTTGTACTGATTTGCTGTCTCACTTCACTGTTTGATATCAACATATGAAAGTAAAAATGCTATTTAGGGGATAACTATTATCTGAGCACTAATAAATTAAATGCTATTTTAAGCCAACAACAAAATTGTTTAGGGTACAATTTTTATTTAACCAACTGTCCATTATAAACATTATAAAATTCTGAAAGATCCTAGAATCTTATATAGCTTTTTTGTATTTTTTCAAATGTAATTGACACCAGCATGAATTAAATTTCATATTTAAAAAGCTTCAGACTACATTACAACATACTTTAAAATTACTTGCAAGATATGATAATTCTAAGATTACCCACATATCATGCAACTGAAACAGCCAGGTACTTCCTACCAACACATGATACAATAAAATCCAGAAGAACTTCTGAATTAGAGTGTAGTAGTTGCCTAGGGCCATCATACCTAATTATCACACACTTGGTGGGTTAAGAGGACAGAAATATATTCTCTCATAGTTCTGAAGCCTGGACCTCTGAAATCAAGATGTTGGCGGGGCCACACTCCCCCTGAAGACCCTAGGGAAGAATTCTCCCTCGCTTCTTCCTGGCTTCCAGTGGCTCCTGGCAATCCTTGACCTTCTTTGATTTATGACTGCATAACTCCAATTTCTGTCTCCATCTTCACATGACCTTGTGTGTGTCTTTTCCTGTATGTTATAAGGACATTTACACTGGATTTAGGGCCCACCTTCACCCAGGATGACCTCATCTCAATCACTGGGTTAATTATATCTGCAAAGACCCTACTTCCAAATAAAATCACATTCTAAAGTTCCTAATGGACATAAATTTTGGAGGTACGGTATTTAAATCACTACACAGAACATGTAAAGACAAAAATCTGGAAGCTACCTGAATGAAAATGGATATTCCCTTGAACTTCGACAAAATCATATTCTATTTTTCCATGAGAAACATTTTATTACTCTAAAACAATATTCATATTTCACAAGTACACCTCTTAAATTATAGCTTGGACTTAAGAAAAATAATTAGCTTTGGAAATTATCAGTACATGATATCTAGTATTTCCTATATTTTTAAGAACTTCTACCTCCTAGCAAAAATAAACAATGCAATGGATAATTTCTGTGTTCTAAATTCACACACACAAACAGGAAAGGGACTTTAAAAATGATGTGTTCTCTTTTAAAGCAGAAGCCCAACCACCTGCTCTGAATCTAAAAGTTTCCTGAAAGCAATGAAGGGCTAGTTTATTATGAAGGTGTTGATAGCTGATTCTGTGGAGACTCACACAGAAACAAAGAATAAATTTTAATCACACTTAATGCTAATGTGGTAGTAAGGTTGTGACAATATTCAAATATGACTAATTTCATTGAATTAACTACACTCGGGCTTAGCTTAGTTGTCCAAATTTATTACAAATAGCTCAAACTAAATAACTCAACTCTTCTGTTTTCTATTTATTTTTTGTTGATGCTTAAGAGTAAAAAGATATTTCAACTGAATTTTTTTTTTTTTTTTTTAGCAATCAGTTCTCTTGTTTTATCACCATAAGACTGTAAACGGCCGTAACAGGTCACTGAATCTAGCACTGCCTTCAACAAGAAATGCACCTAGAGCAGGAATATAGTACTTGGCACTCATCTCTAGACCTATAACCTAACAGATTTTTTTTTTGTCTGTCTTTGGTGAAAGTAACGTAAATTTAGAGCTGGAAAGGACCTTAGAGGTCATCTAGTCCCACCCAAGCATCTTTGAAAACAAAATAAAGAAGTGTGTTGGCCTGATGCGGTGGCTCACGCCTGTAATCCCAGCACTTTGGGAGGCCAAGGCGGGCAGATCACAAGGTCAGGAGATCGAGACCATCCTGCCTAACATGGTGAAACCCCGTCTCTACTAAAAATACAAAAAATTAGCCGGACATGGTGGCAGGTGCCTGTAGTCCCAGCTACTCGCGAGGCTGAGGCCGGAGAATGGAGTGAACCCAGGAGGCAGAGCTTGCAGTGAGCCGAGATCGTGCCACTGCACTCCAGTCTGGGCAATAGAGTGAGACTCCGTCTTAAAAAAAAAAAAAAAAAGAAGCATGTTTATTTCATCATTTTGTACTTATACACTGTGTATTTCCAGAAAAGCCCCTGAGACAGCTTAGAATGAAAGGCACAGACACTATAAAACAAGGGCAAAATGACAGAATAATGAAGAGAAAGAGGTGACAATTACATGGGACAACCTAGGGAAGGAAACACTACCCTTCAGCCTAAAATTTAGTCCTAAGCCCCTTGTTCTTAAAGGCCAAAAGGAAAACCAGAATTCAAATAGGTATTGTTAGTTAATAAAATAGTATCTGGATATATCAGCAACTATTTTTTGGTAACTCTAAACTCAAGCAAAATATATGTCTTCAAGCAACAGACAATGGACAATATAATAAAAATAATCTTCCATAGCAATTTCCAAACTTTTAAAGATGTAAGAACAAATGATCTTTTCTTACAGGATGCTTAGTTGAAAGCTGCCCGCATGATGGTATTTTAAACTACATGATGTTAAATTCCCTGCATGATGGTATTTTATTGGGACCTGGTTATATGATTTGGTGAAGAATGTAACCTTTGAGAACTTAGAAGAGTGAATGGTTAATATTTCTCTGAATTTTTTTGTTTTTAATTGATATTTTATTTTATCCCTCATAGACAATATATGCCTGGGAAATACACTGAAGTATAGTAAAAAAGAATCTAAGGGTTAAAGTGTTGAGGTAAATGAGAAAGCAGAGGTTGTGTCTGAAGAACCGTGTGGTCGCACTGCACCACACAGCAAACAGAAATATGGGTGAGCACAGGCCGGGCGCGGTGGCTCAGGCCTGTAATCCCAGTACTTTGGGAGGCCGAGGAGGGCGGATCACGAGGTCAGGAGATCGAGACCATCCTGGCTAACACGGTGAAACCCCGTCTCTACTAAAAATACAAAAAATTAGCCGGGCCTGGTGGTGGGCGCCTATAGTCCCAGCTACTTGGGAGGCTGAGGCAGGAGAATGGCGTGAACCCGGGAGGCGGAGCTTGCAGTGAGCCGAGATCGGGCCACACCACTCCAGCCTGGGGGACAGTGAGACTCCGTCTAAAAAAAAAAAAAAAAGAAGTTCACCCTATGCAGGCACTATAACTACGAGTCCCTCCCATCTGAGCCTTGCCTTCCAGACAACCCCACCAATACATAAGACAGAAAAAAAGCACCTTGCACCTTCCAGACTGACTTGTTTGCCAGCCGCATAGCACTGAGTCACCCTAGTTAATGATATGAGAGAGGAAGAATCACTCAGACGAATCCTGCTGGAATTTCTCACCTATAGGATCCATGAGATACAATGAAGTGGTCGTTGTTTTACCTTATTAAATTTGGGGTAGTTTCTTTTTTCTTTTTTTTTTTTCTTTTTTCTTTTTTTTTTTTGAGACGGAGTCTCACTCTGTGGCCCAAGCTGGAGTGCAGTGGCGCAATCTCGGCTCACTGCAAGCTCCGCCTCCCGGGTTCACACCATTCTCCTGCCTCAGCCTCCCGAGTAGCTGGGACTACAGTCACCCACCACCACGCCAGGCTAACTTTTGTATTTTTAGTAGAGACGGGGTTTCACCGTGTTAGGCAGGATGGTCTCGATCTCCTGAACTCGTGATCCGCCCGTCTCAGCCTCCCAAACTGCTGGGATTACAGGCGTGAGCCACGGCGCCCGGGCCATTTGGGGTAGTTTCTTAAGCAGCAATAGTAACTGTAACACTGACTCACTTCTACTGCCACCAATCACTATCCTCCTTTCCTGATTTACTTCCTCGTATGTACCATCTTTTAAAAAACAAATAATTAGGCCGGGTGCAGTGGCTCACGCCTGTAATCCCAGCACTTTGGGAGGCTGAGGTGGGCGGATCACGAGGTCAGGAGATCGAGACCATCCTAGCTAATATGGTGAAACCCCGTCTCCGCTAAAAATACAAAAAATTAGCCAGGCGTGGTGACCGGGGCCTGCAGTCCCAGCTACTCGGGAGGCTGAGGCAAGAAAATGGCGTGAACCCGGGAGGCGGAGCTTGCAGTGAGCTGAGATCGCGCCACTGCACTCCAGCCTGGGCGACAGAGGGAGAGTCTGCCTCAAAATAATAATAATAATAATAATTAGTGAAAACTTCAATAACTTTTGCACCGGCCTAATAGTTGTAAAGAAACTATAAGCAAGTTCACAAAAGTTAAAACAAAAAATCAGCTATGAGAAACAAATATGAATTATACCACTAACTGCTGAAAAGAAAGACTCTAAGACTGAAATTACCAAAAAAAAAAAAACCCTCAGCTGAAAACAAAACAAATAATCAAACTCTATTACTCTACTCTATTTCCATGAAGTGTACAAACTGTTCCTGTAAGTTTAACGATATTAAAATGTACAAAGATTAATAAAGTAAAAATCAAAGACTATTTATAACATCATCGATTTCACATAAAGTAGAATTTTAAAGGAAAAGGTATCACATGGAAAACAATAAAATATTTAATATTACAAAGCAAAACACTAAATGAACGTCACATTTAATTGTGAAATCATTAGCATGTTTCTCCGTTATGACTTATTAAAGGATAAAATTTGAGCATTATAATGTATAAGATTTTTGGCCGGGCGCAGGGGCTCACGCCTGTAGTCCCAGCACGTTGAGAGGCTGAGGCGGGCGGATCACGAGGTCAGCAAATCCAGACCATCCTGGCTAACACGGTGAAACCGTGTCTCTACTAAAAAAATACAAAAAAATTAGCCAGGCGTGGTGGCGGGCACCTGTAGTCCCAGCTACTTGGGAGGCTGAGGAATGGCGTGAACCTGGGAGGCGGAGCTTGCAGTGAGCCCAGATTGCGGCACTGCACTCCAGCCTGGGCAAGAGAGTGAGACTCCCAATCCAAAAAAAAAAAAAAGAAAAGAAAAGAAAAGAAAAACCGACTTTCATTAAAGCCTCCTGCAGAAATTTGCATAAGTAACAAGGAGCCAAATGTAATCACCAAGACAATGGGGAAAATGTCTCCAGAACATTAAAGACCTTAACACCTTCACGGCAGCTCTTTCCATCACAGGCTCAAAAGCCTAGTATGGAAAAATGATTTCCTGGAGCAGGTCCAGGTCCCCCTGCTGTGTGCAGCCTAGAGACTTGGTGCCCGGCATTCCAGCCACTCCAGCCATGGCTGGGGTGGGAGACACCAGGCTACAGCTCAGGCCATGTCTTCAGAGGTTGCAGCCCCAAGCCTTGGCAGCTTCCACAAGATGTTGAGCCTGCAGGCGCACAGAAGTCAAGAATTGAGGTTTGGGACCCTCCACCTAGATTTCAGAGAATGTATGGAAACACTTGGATGTTCAGGCAGAAGTTTGCTCTGGTGGGGTGCGGGGGCAGGAGCAGGGGCTCATGAAGAACCTCTTCCAGGGTAGTAGAGAATTGAAATGTGGGCTCTGTCTCCCATACAGAGTCCCTACTGGGGCAATGCCTAGTGGAGCTATGAGAAGAGGGCCGCTGCCCTCCAAACCCCCAATTGGTAGATCCACAAACAGTTTACACTGTGTACCTGGAAAAGCCACAGACAATGCCAGCCAGTGAAAGCAGCCAGGAGGGAGGCTGTACCCTGCAAAGCCACAGAGGCAGAGCTGCCCAAGGCCATGGGAGACCACCACTTGCGTCAGTGTGACCTGCATGTGAGACACGGAGTCAAAGGAGATCATTTTGGAACTTTAACGTTTAATGACTGCCCTATTGGATTTCAGACTTGCATGGAACCTGTAGCCCCTTTGTTTTGACCAATGTCTCCCATTTGGAACAGGTGTAAATACACTGGGGGTACCCAATGCCTGTACCCCCATTGTATGTAGGAAGTAACTAACTTGCTTTTAGTTTTACAGGCTCATAGGTGGAAGGGACTTGTCTCAGATGAGACCTTGGACTGTGGACTTTTCAGTTAATGTTGAAACGAGTTAAAACTTTGGGGGACTGTTGGGAAGGCATGATTGATTTTGAAATGTGAGAACATGAGATTCAGGAGGCGCCAGGGGAAGAATGATATGGTTTGGCTATGTCCCTACCCAAATCTCATCTTGAATTGTAGCTCCCATAATCCCCATATGTCATGAAAGGGACCCAGTGGGAGGTAACTGAATCATGGGGATGGGTTTCTCCCTGTGTTGTTCTTGTGAAACCGAATAAGTCTCACAAGTTCTGATGGTTTTATAAAGGGGAGTTCCCCTGCACATGCTCTCTCTCTTGCCTGCCACCATGTAAGACATGTCTTTGCTCCTCCTTTGCCTTCTGCCATGATTGTGAGGCTTCCCCAGCCACGTGGAACTGAGTCCATTAAACCTTTTTTTCTTTATAAATTACCCAGTCTCAGGTATTTCTTCATAGCAGTATGAAAGTGGACTAACACAGTATCAAACCCTGGTTTGGGGTAATAATCACTACCTTCTAGGTAACCAGAATGGAAAAAAATAACAGAAAAAAAATCTTAAAAATCATCCTGCGTACAAGAAAAATGAAACTGTATGCTGAATTCTCAGGGGGAGAAAACGTATTTAAAAATATATGACTTTCAAACCACAAGAAACTATAGAACATTGCTTTAAACTATTTGTCTATGAACAGTATGTAGAAACACATGGAATTTAGGAAATAGGAGATGAAGGCTACAATAACAAAAGAGGCTCATATCACAAAATGGGAGATAGCTGAGATGAGGCTTCTATGAAAACTAAAGTGCAAGGGCAGATTTTCCATCCACAGGGAAATCCGTGGAGAAAGAAACTGACACACTGAAAAGTTCAAGCAGCAATTGAATCAGAGCTCTGGAGGGCAAAAGAAGAGATGAACTAATGACAGAGAAGAAGGCGGATGGGTATGCCAGAGACCACAGGTTCCACCTCGAGAATAGTTTGTGTACTGGGGAAAGACACAAGGGCAAGGAGATCTGAAACAATAATCAAAGCTATCACTGAAGTACGAATAATAAAAGCACCAACCAGCTTCTAGGCAGGGAGGGGGAAGAAACAAGGAAGAGTTCTCCATATTTAAATAACAACTAGCCAAACTCCTGAATTTTACAAATAAAGAAAAAAACTTCCTTAAAAATAAAAAGTCAGGCTTAGATAAGACTTTTTTTCTTCTCTGTTAACATTATTAGAAGACATAAAGATTTTAAGAGAATAAAAATATGATCAAGAGGATCATAAATATCAGGTTGTCTTTACCTGAGTACGAAGCAATGGCATCTGTATATCCAGCACTGATTTGTCCTTCCAATAAAAATTTACTCAAAGACATATGGGTACATATTAGAAAAATAATCAAAATTAATATTTCAAGGATTAGGAAGTTGTGAAGCCAAAATCCTGCAAGGGGACAATTGATTCAGTTAATGGAAAGATTTATTTTTCATATTTTATGATTATTTACCAAAATAATATTTTTAAAGTATAATTATAAAATAAAAATAAAATATTTAACAATACTATAATTATAATCATGTTCCAAGTTATAAAACAAGATAGTGAGAATTGTCAGTAAGATAGTAAGAATTCTAATACTATCTCAAAATAAAGGATACAGAAGGTTTCAGGGCAAGAGAAAGGGAAAACCTTCTATATCCTTTAGTTTGAGATAGTATTAAAGCTTTCTGTAGGCTCACTCAAAATGTCCGGATTCTGACCACATTTGAATATGAGCACTCCCAACCTGACGATTCCTAGTCTAAGCCACACATATTTCCTCTTATGGTTATTGCAAAAGCTCCCTAACTGGTCTCCCAGCTTCTGCCGTTGATTCCTTTCAGCTATTTTTTACACAAGTGCCAGAGAAATCTCAGAAATGCAATTCAGATGATATCACTTCTTTGCTTATATCTTTCAATGTTGTTCCCCTCTACGTGTTCATGTATTCTCCCCTTTGACTCTCGCTTCTAAGTGGGAACATTTGGTTTTCTGTTCCTGCATTAGTTGGCTAAGGATAATGGCTTCCAGCTCCATCCATGTTCCTACAAAGGGCGTGATCTCATCTTTTATGGTGGCATAATATGCCATGGTGTATATATACCACATTTTCTTTATCCAGTCTACCATTGATGGGCATTTATGTTGATTCCATGCCTTTGCTACTGTGAATAGCGCTGCAATAAACATATGCATGCATGTGTCTTTATGACAGAACAATTTATATTCCTTTGGGTGTATACCCAGTAATAGGATTGCCGGGTCGAATGGTAGTTCTTTTAGGTGTTTGAGGAATCACCACACTGTCTTCCACAATGGCTGAACTAATTTACACTCCCACCAACAGTGTAGAAATGTTGCCTTTTCTCCACAATATTGCCAGCATGTTATTTTTTAGCTTTTTAATAATAACCATTCTGAATGGTGTGAGATAGTATCTCATTGTACTTCTGATGTGCATTTCTTTAATGATCAGTGATGCTGAGCTTTTTTTCTACGTTTGTTGGCTGCACGTATGTCTTATTTTGAAAAGGAGGGTGAAAGCTGGGAGGAGGGAGAGGATCAGGAAAAACAACTAGTGGGTAGCAGGTTTACCATGTGGGTAACAGAATAATCCGTACAACAAACCCCCATGACACAACTTTACCTACATAACAAACCTGCACGTGTACCACTGAACTTAAAAGTTAAATTTAAAAAATAAAAAATAAAAAAATCTTTCAATGGTCCCATGTCAGTTTGAGGAACAGCCAAAGTCCTTAAAATGACGTACAAGGTGCTCGTTCCATCATCCGTCTTCTCATGTTTATTTCTCTGCCACCATCTACTAATACTCTTCCCCCTTCTCATTCTACTCCAGCTATAATGGCTTCCTCGATGCTGTTCTAAGAATAAGTCCACATGATTCCGACTCAGGGCTTTTGCCCAAGCTGTGGTCTCTCTTTGGAATGCTCTTGTTTCAGCAGAGCACGATTCCTCCTCATTTCCTTCAAGTCTGTCCCCAAATGCCTTCTACCTGGTGTGTAATTGTCATGTGTGGCAGTTTTAAACATAGTCCAAAAACAGGTTGATATTCTTCTCATCAAAAAATAGGTCTATGTCTCCCTTCCCTAAATCTGGACGTGCTTGTGACTGCTACAATCAATAGAGTATGACAAATAATTCTACCTGACCTTTAAAGTGAGATAAAAAGAGACCAGGCATTTTCCACCTGGTTCCCTTGGAGTGTTTGATCTGCGGAAAGCCAGCAGCCATATAAGAAGTTTACCCTGTGCAGGCCGGGCGCGGTGGCTCAGGCCTGTAATCCCAGCACTTTGGGAGGCCAAGGCGGGTGGATCACGAGGTCAGGAGATCGAGACCATCCTGGCTAACACGGTGAAACCCAGTCTCTACTAAAAATACAAAAAATTAGCCGGGCCTGGTGGTGGGCGCCTGTAGTCCCAGCTACTCGGGAGGCTGAGGCAGGAGAATGGCGTGAACCCGGGAGGCGGAGTTTGCAGTTAGCCGAGATCGGGTCACACCACTCCAGCCTGGGGGACAGTGAGACTCCGTCTCAAAAAAAAAAGAAAAAAAAAAAAGTTTACCCTGTGCAGGCACTATAACTAAGAGTCCTTCCCATCTGAGCCTTGCCTTCCAGACAACTCCATCAATTTATAAGACAGAAAAAAAGCACCTTGCACCTTCCAGACTGACTTGTTTGCCAGCCGACTAGCACTGAGTCACCCTAGTTAATGATGTGAGAGAGGAAGAATCACTCAGATGAATCCTGCTGGAATTTCTCACCTATAGGATCCATGAGATATAATGAAGTGGTCGTTGTTTTACCTTATTAAATTTAGGGTAGTTTCTTTTTTCTTTTTCTTTTTTTAAATTTTTTTTTTTTTGAGACGGAGTCTCCCTCTGTCGCCCAGGCTGGACTGCAGTGGCGCGATCTCGGCTCACAGCAAGCTCCGCCTCCCGGGTTCACGCCATTCTCCTGCCTCAGCCTCCCGAGTAGCTGGGACTTAAGGCGCCCACCACCACCAGGCCAGGCTAACTTTTGTATTTTTAGTAGAGACAGAGTTTCACCGTATTAGGCAGGATGGTCTCGATCTCCTGAACTCATGATCCGCCCGTCTCAGCCTCCCAAACTGCTGGGATTACAGGCGTGAGCCACGGCGCCCAGGCCATTTGGGTTAGTTTCTTAAGCAGCAATAGTAACTGTAACACTGACTCACTTCTACTGCCACCAATCACTATCCACTTTTCCTGATTTACTTCTTCCTATGTACCGTCTTTTAAAAAACAAATAATTAGGCCGGGCTAAGTGGCTCACGCCTGTAATCCCAGCACTTTGGGAGGCTGAGGCGGGCGGATCACGAGGTCAGGAAATCGAGACCATCCTGGCTAACACGGTGAAACTCTGTCTCCACTAAAAATACAAAAAATTAGCTGGGCGTGGTGGTGGGTGCCTGCAGTCCCAGCTACTCGGGAAGCTGAGGCAGGAGAATGGCGTGAACCCAGGAGGCGGAGCTTGCAGTGAGCCCAGATGGCGCCACTGCACTCCAGCCTGGGCGACAGAGCGAGACTCCGTCTCAAAAAAAAATAAAAATAAAAAATAAATAAAAAAAGATTTTTAATATATATATACGAGAATATGTGAAACAGTATTTTTTCAAGTTTCCATTGAAAATTTTAAAAATAGATTATATAAAACCTCAATATATTTTTTAAAATAAAAACCACACAGGTCACATTACCTACTCAAAATTTAATTACATTAGAAATTAAGACAAAGTTAAAACAGGACAACCAGCACCCCTAGTATCACCCTCCTCAGAGTATTTAAAAATAGATTCCTTTAAATTATCTCTTTTTTTACAAGAATAAAATCTAATCAATTATTAGAAAGATAATCTCAAACTGAACTCAAAAGAAGAAGCAAAGCATCTTCAAAGTCAATAAGGGTGCTATAAATGCTTCTTGGACTCTGAAACTCTCTGACTTCCCATTCTACTCTCAGTTGTAGAAAACTCCCTGATTGTGAAGTTTTGGTGTGATTAGGTTAGGTTTACCCAGATACTCCCCCCGTCTTAAGGCTGACGGATTATTAGCCTTAGTGACATGTGCAAGACTCCTTTGCCGTGTGAGGTATCAACAGGGTAACATGAGGAAATGAAGGTCATAGGGGCTATCTTAGACTTCTTCCTGCTACAACCTCTATTCACTTATTTTGAATCCTCAGGGTTTAATGAGCTCCTACTATGTTCTAGGTCCTTGCAATAGGAGTACAGCAGTGAACAAGACAAACATGGTTCTGGTCCTTGGAGTACAAAGTAAATGCTGAAAATTTAATAAATGGGTCAGTAGATAGATAGATGTATAAAGGTCTAAATGCACATTCAGAAAATAGCAGGAGAACACTGAGACTCAGTATTATTGAATATGCTTTAAAGGCCCATGTGTCGTCTTGAATGAAAATGTTGCTCAATTTCTGATGAGGAGACTAATTCATCAATATCTGTTATCATTGACTGATGACCTCACATAATAAAAGATCTTGACTTGAGTGTACGTTAATAATCAACATAATGGGTAATGTATCAAAAGAGTATATGGAACATAATAAAAAGATATAAATTGAAATCTTAAACAGTTTTGTGCTAAAATATGTTTAGAATTGCTTGAACCCAGGAGGCGGAGGTTGCAGTGAGCTGAGATTATGCCACTACACTCCAGCCTGGGCAACAAGATCCAACCTCCGTCTCAAACAAACAAACAAACAAACAAACAGAAACAACCCAAACAAACACAAAAAGTTACTATAATTGTATCTCTTTTGACTATAGCCTGGAAGAAATCACTTTCTCCCCAACTTAAGGAAGGGGAGACTTATCTCTAGCCAAGCTTTGAGTATAAACATATAAAAAGTAATTTTCATTTTCTTGAAACTGACTGCATGAAAAGGCATATGGTGTTCCCAAAAAATGTCTGATGAGTGAGAATATTAAAATGACTAAACTGATGGGACATATTTAATTTAATATTTAAACTTGATAAAAACTAGTTAAGCATTTAACTCAAGAATTTCAAAATGGTACAGCAAAGCATACAAGCAAAATTAAAAGGAATGCTAATTACATATTAAGTTAGAAGGCAATAAATTATAAACAAAAACAGTAACAATTTATAAACATACACAAGTTCATTCTTTAACAAATAACCCATGATACAGAAAAATATAGCAAATGTGATAAAACAAAAACTGAGAAAACATAAAATTTAAAGTGAAAAAAAAACAAAACATGCAGAAATTGTTTTAAAGACAAAAAATACTATCTTAGAAAATTAAATACGTGTTTCACTAAAATAAACATGTACTGCTTAAATGAATCTTAATTTAATTTTAAAAATAGTAAATAGGTTGCAGGCATCAATTTTTGCAAGAAATGTAAAACATTATTTTAAAAATTTTTATTAAAGTCCCTATAACCAGTGTTTTTAATAAGCATCTGTTTAAAACATCTTGTAAAATGGACCCCAAACTAGGAAATATGGATAAAGTTATAAAAAGTGGCTTCCTTTCAGTTCATTTTACAAAGCAAATATAACTATTACTAACTCTTGATGAAGTGAATACAAAAAGAATAAAATTACTAAACAGTATCCCTTATAAACATAGTTAAAATATTCTTAACTGAAAGAAAAAGGAACTGAATTCTACACTTACTAAGAAATCACCCACCCCAGTGATTTGGCATACAAAGATTTAATACTAGAAAATATATATTAATATAATGCAACACAACAATAAAGCTATTTACTTTATATTGTACATTTACTGCTACAGACTAAATGTTTACATCCCTCTCAAATTCATATGTTGAAATGCTAACCGCCAATGTGAGGGTTTTTGAAGGTGGGGCTTTTGGGAACTAATTAAGTCATGAGAGAGCAGCCCTCATTAATGGGTTTAGCACCCTTCTAAAGCAGCCCCCTGAACTCCCTTGCTCCTTCCCCACTGAGGTTATAGAGAAAGGGCAGCCTTCTTTGAACTAGAACAAAAGTTTTTCCCAGACACCAGATTGGCTAGTACCTTGGTCTTAGATTTCCCAGACCCCAGAACTGTGAGAAATTCCTTTCTGTTGTTTATAAGCCACCAAGTCTATGGTATTCTGGTACAGCAGCCCATTTTTGATATTTATTTAATGATATTTAACATGCATGACTGATGAAATTTAACAAAGTAGTTATAGATATGTCCTTACCATGATTAAAAATAACTCTTAAATTGATGCATACTTTTATTATCTAGTTCTAGCCAAAGCCATAAGATGAAAACACAAATAAGAAACCACCTATATGGCACATGTATACCTATATAACAAACCTGCATGTTCCGTGCATGTATCCCAGAACTGAAAATCATATTTTAAAAAAATTTATTTATATAGAAAAAAAGAGAGCAAATGATAATATTTTTCAAAAACTGATAATTTAATTACGGTAAGTTCTGTGTGATATGTGCCTGATGTGTGTGATATGTGTCTGATGTGATATGTGTGAGATGAAAAACACTAAGGGGGTATGTGATTTTGAGCATTCACGTGCCCATAAATCCTTGTTAGAATTAAAATATCACATTAAACCTCTCTCTTTCTTTTAATGTCCATGGTTTCTTTATATGTTTTAGTAAGTGACACAGAGGAAAATACTGAGCGGACACCGTTTCTAAATTGGTAAACTGCCCTGAACTGCCACTTTACTCTTTTCTACAGCAAGTGTGGAAGATTAGAGTTCAGGCAAACATGTCATGTAAGTGGTGAAGATTCCCTTTTTCCACTGGGACAGCAGTAGAACTGAAGGGAAATCAGACAACAGCTACCTCAGCAGGAGAGCCTCAATGATGACACTTTTGCCTCAACAGTGGAAGCTGGTAGTTTCCAAAAATAGAGCTAAAAAGTGAATCAAGTTTTAAAGCACATTGAAAGTCACACGTAAAATTCATTATTACAGAAAAGCTATCAACCAATCACAGTAAATGAGTGAATTTAGAAATTAAATTTTAATATGAAAGGTTCATGTTGTCAAAACTGACTATGTTAGTCCATCTCAATGCTATAAAGGAATACCTGAGACTGGGTAATTTATAAAGAAAAGAGGAGTATTTGGGCTGATGGTCTGCAGGCTGTACAAACAGGCCACCAGTATCTGCTCAGCTTCTGCTGAGGCCCGGGAAGCTGACAATCATGGCTTAAGGCAAAGGGGGAGCTGGCATATTACATGGGGAGAGAGGGAGCAAGGGAGATGCCAGGCTCTTTTAAACAACAAGATCTCTCGTGAATTCATAGAGCAAGAACTCACTCATTACCAGGAGGACAGCACAAAACCATTCATGGGGATCCACCCTTGGGAAACAAACACCTATTACTAGGCCCACCTCCAACACTGGAGGTCGCATTTCAACATGAGATTTGGAGGGGACAAAACATCCAAACCGTATCACTAACGGAAAGTTATTGTTTAAATTTCTGTATTCAGTCCCTTGGCCTTTTTGAGAAATGCCATTCATTTCAGCCATCAAGCAAATTATTATTTGAGACATTTATACCTCTTCATCCTTTAAAAGTTTCAGAAGCATGAATTTAAAAAGTATTCATTGTAAATTTGAGGCTAGTCAAATTGATGTGGCATCTAAGTAGCACGGTGATGGGATGAGGAGACAAAGTCACGAGGGGAGGTAGGAAGAAGCAGAGAGAAAAAGAGAAATAGGAAGAGAGAAAAAGAAATGAGGAGAGAGTATAAGAAAAATAAAGAAGAAAGAGGAAAAGAAAAATGGTTTAAATGAGAGGCAAATGTCATCTGATGTTTTACCATGGGGCCATAGGGTATTTGAAGTTTCAGAAAATTCATAAGTTATTAAAAAATGTGACTCTAGGGTAGTGAGGTTATAACTTGTAAGAAAACAAGAAGTGATTCCTTTTAAGAGAACCTTCTTGGCCGGGTGCTGTGGCTCACGCCTGTAATCCCAGCACTTTGGGAGGCCGAGGCGGGTGGATCACGAGGTCAGGAGATCGAGACCATCCTGGTTAACACAGTGAAACCCCGTCTCTACTAAAGATACAAAAAATTAGCTGGGCGCCGCAGCGGGCACTTGTAGTCCCAGCTGCACGGGAGGCTGAGGCAGGAGAATGGCGTGAACCCGGGAGGCGGAGTTTGCACTGAGCAGAAATCGCGCCGCTGCACTCCAGCCTGGGGAACAATGGGGAACAAAGCAAGACTCCGTCTCAAAAAAAAAAAAAAAAAAAGAAAAGAAAAAGAGGAACTTCTTAAAGATGCGGTTGTCTTTCTTATGCTTCCTTTAGCTCTTTTTTACCTCTCCACTGATACAGATTTTTATACCAAATAGCTGGCATTAGCTAAACCAATGTCTAGGAGAACTGATCCTCACGAAGGAAAATCATAATTTATTATTTTTTTAATTCATGGCATTTATTTGTACAAGAAATATATTTCTATTTAAGAGAAAGTAGAAAACAAAGGAGAACAGAAACAACTTTTTTTTTTTTTTTTTTTTTTTTTTTTTTGAGACAGAATCTCGCTCTGTCGCCCAGGCTGGAGTGCAGTGGCACGATCTCAGCTCACTGCAAGCTCTGCCTCCCGGGTTCACGCCGTTCTCCTGCCTCAGCCTCCAGAGTAGCTGGGACTACAGGCGCCCGCCACCACGTCCGGCTAATTTTTTTGTATTTTTAGTAGAGACGTGGTTTCACTGTGTTAACCAGGATGGTCTTGACCTCCTGACCTCGTGATCCGCCCGCCTCAGCCTCCCAAAGTGCTGGGATTGCAGGCGTGAGCCACAGCGCCCGGCCGAAAAAACTTTTTAAAATTTGTTTGGGGATCTCCCATATTTGCCAAAGTAATCCCACAAAAACAATTAACATTTGACTTTGAAAATTAAGACAAAAAATACAATGATGAATATTTTCTTGTAAAAGCAAAGACAGTAAAAATATTCAGATTTAAAATAAGCCTGAGAAAAAGCATGATTTCCTTGAGCTTACCTAAGTAAACTTATTTACAAGTGACTGTATCAATAATTAGCAAAAGTAAAAGTCATTATGAAATCCTCCAAATCTTTCAAAGTACTATCTTACATTCAAGCATTGAGTTTGCCCATAAAATTATTTAAGCTCAACCTTTTCCTCAATCTCCAAAACTCTGGCGTGTAACTACACAAACACTTCAATAGGGGACAGAATCTCCTTTTATCATTCATTCTACCAAACATCAACTTCATAAGAATTAGAATCAAGTGTAATAAGAATGAACTATATAGAATCATTGATATAAATTTATAGGTGTTCAGACATAACCTTTAGACATATTTGTCAGTGTACATGTAAACAATACTCAATAACTTCTTTAATAGAGTTCTCCAGAGAAACAGAACCAATTGGATGTGGGTATATAACTCAGTTATATATTTCATCAGCTTCCTTTTTATGTAATAGAAACTAACTACAGCTAATGATGAATTTTTTTCATTCATTCATCATTAAAAGGGGAGAGAGAAATCCAGGCTGGGTTTGTGCCATTTTTATTCCCTCACAGTTCTCTTCTTGCTGCATGATTCTTCCTTTCAGATATTAACCAGAAGGAATGGTTAGCCTGACTATAGCTCTAGAGGAGCAACACAGGCTCTGGATAATGAGGATGCACAGGCTTTAATCAGTCCTAGCAGGAGGTCTTGGCTTAGACAACTATGTAGAGTTGATGGTATCCCTATAGGAAAAAAATATATATATATATGTTTTTGTGGTAGCAGGACAGAGTCAGTTTCAGACATTTGTTCAACAACTGTTGGTGTTCAACATATATTAGTATTTTGCACTAGGTACTATGTGCTAAAAGTATAGTAAGGAATAAAAATAGGGAAATAAACAAAAACAAAATAAAGAAACAGAGAAAATTCCTATTACCCTTTAGGAAAAACAACATAAAATAAAGTAACAGAATCTAGAAACAGAGAATAACAAGATAGAAGCCTACTATATACCACCATTATCAACCTGTCAAAATAAACATTGTCAGTAATGAGACAAACTGGAATCATGTACCACCTGATAGGATGCAATGAAAAAAACGCAGCATCAATTCTGTGATATTCTTGCCAAAATGCATTGCCTGACTCTAGTCACAAGGAAACCTCAGAAAACCTAAAGGGAGCCATTCAAAAAAGAAGGAAGGGAAAAGGAAAAAGTAAGGGAAAGAGGAGAGAAGGAAGGGGAGGGGGAAGGGAAGGGGAGAGGGAAGAGAAAAAGGAAGGGGAAAGCGAAGGAGAAAGGAAAGGAGAAAAGGAAGGAGAAGCAAAGCAAAGGAAAAAAAGAAGAAAATATGGGCCAGAAATCTTGGTTAAGTTAGGTCTAAAGATCTATTCTTGATACAAGGACATTAAAAAGACATGACAATGAAAGGCAATGCATGATTCTGAACTTGATCCTTTTGCTATGAAACATTATTGGGACTATTGGTGAATTTTTTTTTTTTTTTTTTGAGACGGGGTCTCGGTCTGTCGCCCAGCCTGGAGTGCAGTGGCGCAGTCTGGGCTCACTGCAAGCCTCGCCTCCTGGGTTCACGCCATTCTCCTGCCTCAGCCTCCCGAGTAGCTGGGACTACAGGCACCCACCACCACGCCCGGCTAATTTTTTCCTTTTTTTTTTTGTATTTTTAGTAGAGACGGGGTTTCACCCTGTTAGCCAGGATGGTCTTGATCGCCTGACCTCGTGACCCATCCGCCTCGGCCTCCCAAAGTGCTGGGATTACAGGCGTGAGCCACCGTGCCCGGCTGACTATTGGTGAAATTTTAATGCGGACTTGATAATTAGATGTAGCAATATATTAATATTAATTTTCTGGTTTTGTTCGTTGTACTGTGCATGTATTGCATTTGGGGGGGCACATATATTACTGTAACAGATTTGTAATATATACAATTATATATATGTATATACATATATAGACACAATTGTGTTTGTAGAAAATATATATGAAAGCAAGGTTTTTCAACTTTGGCACTATCGCTTCTGACATTTGGGCCACATAATTCTTTGTTGGGGGCATTTCCTGTGAATTGCAGGATGTTTAGCGACTTGGTTTGCCTTTAATAACTAAATGACAGTAGCATCCTCCTCACACCTTTCCCCAGGCTAACAACTAAAAATATCTTGAGATATTATCAGATGTTTCCTGGAGGGCAAAACTCCCCCTGGTTGAGAATCAGTCTACTAAAGTATTTGGAGATGACAGAGCATCAGGTTCGTTTCTATATATTATTAAAGTATCTTTCAAAGTTGAAGGTAAAATTAAGACATTTTCGGAAAAATTAAATGGGCCAATTTGTCACCAGCAAATCTGTACTACAAAACATGCTAGCAGAAGTTTTCTGGCCTGAAGGGAAATAACGTCGAATCTAAACTCCAGATTAGAGGAAATGAAAAGCATAGAAATGGTAAGTATATGAGTAACAGGAAATACTTTTTTTTAATCTGCCGATTTTGTTGAAGGGAAACTGACTATTTAAATTTAAAAAGATATCATTTTATTGTGGGGTTTATGATGTGGACAGAAAAACTTATACTAAAAAAAATCACAAAAGACAGAGGGGGAGTAAAGGAAATGTTACCGTCATCAGTTTTTGTTGTTGTTGTTTTGGGTTTTTTTAATAGACTTTATTTTTAGGGCAGTTGTAAGCTCACAGCAAAATTGAAAGAAAGATACAAAGATTTCTCATACATCATTGTGTCCACACAGGCACAGCCTGACCCCTTGCTGTCATTCTCCTCTGGAGTGGCACATTACTTACCGCTGATGAACCTGCACTGGCACATCCTTATCACCAAGGTCCATAGTTATATTAGGGTCCACGCTTGCTGTCATACATTCTATGAGTTTAGGCAAATTCATATACCAGTATAGTATCATGCAGAATAGTTTTCTGCCCTGAAAGTCTTCTGTGCATATGAATAGGATAGGTGGAGCACAGATCACTTTTTAGGAAAATGTTGCCTTGTTTTGATTTGACAAAGTAGGCAACACTATCAATCACTGGAGAGAATGTAAAAATAGAACAGATGTCATCAGTTTTTTACATTATATATGAAGTTGTCAAAAATTACCTCGAAGTAAAATTTAGATTAGTTAAGTATAAATTGATGATTATTGTAATACAAATAACTCAATACAAAAAAGCGTTGCAACTAACTCATCTATGCAATTTAAAATGAATACTTAAAATACAATTAAACAAAAATATGAGAAGAGAAACAAGAGATTGTACAGTTTTTAAAAGTGGCAACACATTTCATTTAACATATTTATGAACTAAATTATTCAATTACAAGGTAGAGACTGTCATATTAGACAAAAGAATGAGACCCAACTAATGTTGTCTACCAGAAACATACATTAAACATAAAGACACAGATAGATGAAAAGTAAACCTACAAGAAAAGATAAACCATATACACAGCAAGCATTAGGAAGCTTGTGTGGCTACATTAGCAAAATGCAATGTAGACTGGAAAAGAGGGTGCATTATAAGAGAAAATGGGGGCATTTCATAATTATGAAAGAACCAATTCATCAGAGGACAATAATATTGCTTATATTATTGTCCTCTGATGAATTGGTTATTATATTATTGTCCTAATATGACATATATGTCCATAATTATGAAATGCCCCCATTTCATAATTATGAAAGGGACACCAACTTAATAATAAAGCCTCATAATTCATGAAGGAAAAAGCAGAATTGAAGGGAGAAATGGATAAATGACAATAATAATTAAAGATTTTAACATCCCTCTGTTCATCACTGATTGAACAGTAAGACAAACCATTCGTATGGCTATAGAACATTTCAACTTCATTATAAATCACCTTGATCTTATTGACATTTATAAAAACTACATTTCAAATGCTGAATATACATTGTTTTCTTGTGTATTGAAAGCACCACCAACATAGGCCAAATGCTGAATCAAAGAGTAAGTTTAAATGAATTTAACTTACTCAAGCTTTAGATTTTATAGAATATATTCTCTGATCACAATAAAATTTAATTTGAAATCGATGACATAAGAGATTCCTAGGAAACCCCCAAATAGTTGTAAATAACATGAAACACTATTTAACTCATAGTTCATAAAAGAAATCAAAAGATAATTTAGAAAAAATATAAAATAAGGAAAACAGTATATTAAATAAACATCTGCACCTAGATGTTTATTGCAGCACTATTCACAATAGGCAAGATATGGAATCAACCTAAGGGTCCAGCAACAGATGATGGTTAAAGAAAATGTGGTATATAGGCCGGGCACGGTGGCTCACGCCTGCAATCCCAGCACTTTGGAAGGCCAAGATGGGTGGATCACTGGAGGTCAGGAGTTCGAGACTAGCCTGGCCAACATGGTGAAACCCCATCTCTACTACAAATATAAAAATTAGCTGGGCATGGTGGCACGTCCCCAGCTACTCGGGAGGCTGAGGTGGAAGATCACTTGAATCCGAGAGGCAGAGGTTACAGTGAGCCAAGATCACACCATTGCACTCCAGAGCAAGACTCCATCTCAAGAAGGGAAAGGAAGGAGAGGAGAGGGGAGAGGAGGGGAAGGGAGGGGACAGGAGGGGAAAAGGAATAGATACACAATGAAGTACTATTCGGCCATAAAAGCAACATGCATAGAAATGGAGTGTATTATGTGAGTGAAATGAGCCAAGAAGAGAAAGTTAAACATTACAGCTTCTCACTCATATGTGGAAGCTAAAATATTTTGATCTTATAGAAGTTAAAACAGAGGATGCTAGAGGCTGGAAAGTATAAGAGGGAGGGAGGGATAGGGAGAGATTTGTTAAAAGATTCAAAATTAAAGCTAGATAGGAGGAATAAGTTCTAATGCTCTATACCATTATGGTATGACAATAGTTAACAATAACATATAGCTTCAAATAGTTAGCAAAGGATATTGAATGTTCCCAAAACAAAGAAATGATAAATGTTTGCAATGATGGATATGCTAATTACCATCACCTCATCAGGGTAATTAAATATATACACTATGAGTATTGAAACATCACTATGTACCCATAAATATGCACAATTATTATGTGCCAATTAAAAAAATAAAATAAAATTATGATAATAAAAGCTTCATATTTGTGGTGTAGAGTTAAATTGAGAGGGTAATTTATTATTTGAAATTCTTCTATTAGAAAAATACGTAGGTTTAAAAGTCAATGAAAAAATAAACAAAACGTAATTTGAAAAAATAAAATAACAGGTAATGAAAGAAATAAATGAAATTGAAAGTAAATAAATTCACAAAGTGAAAAGTTCCTTTGAAAAAATCAGTAAAGTTGTTACATACTAGTAAGACTAAGAAAAAAGGACTGATAAAAGAAGAAATATCATTACAGAACCTCTATATTTAAATGATAATAACTATTATGAACAATTCCATACTCAAGAATTTGGCAGCTTAAAGTTCTGTAAAGAGACAAATTACCAAAGCTTATTTAAGAACAAATTCATAATGTGAATTTTTCTGTATCTATATGTATCCAGATAGTCTAGGTTTTCTAATTTCTGGCCTATGGTTGCTCATAGTAGCCTCTAATGATCCTTACAATTTCAACAAAGAAATTCAGAAGAAATTGAAAAGTTTATTGAAGCAGATAAAAACGGCAACACAACATACCAAAACCTATGGGATACAGCAAAAAGCAGTAGTAAGAGGGAAATTTATACCTATAATTTCCAAGATCAAAAAAGTGAAAAACCTCAAATAAATAACCTGATGATACATCTTTTTTTAAGGTCACTATAAATTTTAATCTATGATATAAAATATTACCTACAGATATAATTGAACATCAGGTATCAGAAAATAAAACATAACAATGAAATGCAATTTTGTAAATACTTCTATGGTACAAGCATTATTTTCCTCAGATTCAACCTTTTAATTGTGTTTTGTTTGCTTTCTGAAAATCACACTTTATAAAGAACACAAGTAGAGCTTGTTAAAATGATTGTCACAGATGTACTGTTTACTAATTCAAAAAATACTACATTCATTCGCTCATATCAATTTTATTCATTAATTATGAAGAAGAAAATATAATATTCCATGCTTGTCATGAAATAGCGGTTTCTTCTTCCAGTCTAATCAGGGAACTAATAAATGCTTAGTTCATGGCAAAACTTCCATTTGATTTACATTGACTTAATTACCTCTTAGGGTCTAGCCTCATCAATGGAGAAAAAGCACTTTTTCTTGAGGCAACAGCACATTAACAGCACTGAATACAAAATATGGCAAATTCAATGGCTGTCAGCATTGCTTTAGGAATTTTGAGACTATAAAAAAACTATAACCATGAATAAAAGAAAAGGGCTTATTAATATCTTCTTTTTGGGAGAGTGATACATTCTGAAGGTTTCTTGTTATTCTGTTGAATAGCAAGGACTTCCAAACTTAAGTGTCTTAAGGCTGAAAATTAGTTACATTCCTCAGATTTTAGCCTTATTAATGAAATTCCAAAAGTATTATAAGATTTAGTATGTCTTGAAATTATAAATTTGTAACAGATATTTTTCAAAATACATGCCTTCAAACAACTTAAATGCAAAAATCATTCGTTCTTAATAATACCTAGCAGTTCATCCCTTGCTTCCCAGAAGTACTCATACAAACATGTGAATTTAAAAAATAGATTTTTCTGTTCAAAAAATAAAGCTTCTGCCCTTTTAAAAACTTGTCAGGCTTTCATTTGCCAAAATGTTGAAAACTGCACATATTCAAACATAGTTCCCGTAGGAACACATATTCCTCAACTCTCACACCTTTGAAGACACAGGAGACGGGCAATATAAATGTTCCCTTCTTTCCAGCTGATGTTAAATAGTTAGGTTTGCTTCATGAGATTATCGGAATAAAGGGTTAGATTTTCATTTTCCATTACTCTATCTAGTAAAATTAGACTTAAAGTAGGTAGAATACTACCAGAGGAATTACACAGTGATTGGCAAACTGGCCTAAAATAATCAGGCTTTTTATTTATACTTCCCTTTTTAAAGTTGTCATTTGACAACAGCTTCCATCTTTAACAGCAGGCAAAAGAAAATGAGGTGCCATGCTATATTAATTAAAATATTCCACAATGAAAGAAAATACAAAACCTGAAAATAACTTCAGTGCTATAGACATTTAAAAAGTTACAATGGTTAAAACTCTGAATAAAAAGATCTTGAGAACAGGTACATTTCAAAGCAATATTTTACACGCTTTGGAAAAAATAGCTATTTTTCAAATAACTTGATATATGGTTTACATATTTCATGCAGTCTCTGAGGTTTTTTTTTTCTACAGTACTGTTTTGCATTAAAGTCTCTCATGTTGTTTACCAGTAATTGTTTCCTTAGGCTGAAATAAAACTTTGCTTGTTCATTAGTTTTCTGTATATCCCATTTGGTTTTGAAAGCAGCTCTTCATGTTTTCCATATTCAGTAATTTTTCCTTGGTCAAGAACAGCAACCATATTAGCATTCTTAATGGTGGAGAGATGATGGGCAATAACTAACGCTGTTCTTCCATCCGTCAGTGGATCTAGAGCTTCTTGAACAAGGTACTCATTTTCAGCATCCAGCGCACTGGTTGCTTCATCTAGGAGAAGAATTTTGGGATTCTTCAGCAGAGCACGGGCAATTGCAATCCGCTGTTTCTGCCCACCTGAGAGGAGAACACCCTTTTCTCCAACCACAGTGTTGAACGCTTGGGGGAAATTCCGGATCAAGACCACTGCATTGGCCACTTCAGCCACTCTCTGGACTTGCTCAGCGGTCACAGAGGAAGGCCATCAGCACCATAAGCAATGTTCTCAGTGATAGAGCAAGAAAACAAAATGGGTTCCTGTCTCACTGTCCCAATCTTGGATCTCAGCCACACTGGGTTTAGCTGACGGATGTCATGGCCATCAAGACTGATGGTTCCAGAAGCAGGGTCGAACAACCTCAGCAGGAGCGAAAGCACTGTTGATTTGCCAGAACCACCTGGGCCAACCAGTGCCGTGACAGATCCTGACGGAATGGAAAGGCTGAAATCCTGAAATATGGGCGCCTCCGGGCAAGCGGGATCGGCAAAATGCACGTTCTTAAACTCCAAAGCACCCTGGAAGCTTTTCTCATTTAAGATAACCCTTCCCCCTCCTTAAAAGGCAGATTGGGCTCTCTCTCCAGGAGCTCCCAGAGGCGCCCCCCGGCACCCAGTCCTTTCATCAGCTCCGAGTAGAAAGAGCTCAGACCTCCAATGCTTATTCCAACCCCGAAAGCATACATAGGAAGGAAGAGAGTTCACCCATGGTCATGTGGGCACTGCCCATCAGCAGCCCCCCTTTGTACAGGACAGAAAGCACAATCAGGTTTCCGGACAGCCTAGTTCTCCAAAGAAGCCAGCCCGAGCGAATGCCTCTTTCCTTGCTGACTACATCACATGGTCCACTTTGCTGGCCTATTTTTCTATTTCAGTCATTTCTTTCCCAAAAGCTCGAACAGTTCTTAACATTTCCAATACGTTCCTCCTGAGTGGCTTGTGCCAGCGAATCCTGGGTGACTTTGGTCAGTTTCCGTAGATATCGTCCATAAATTACATCAATGATTGACACTAGACGCACCACACTCACAACAAAGGTGGCCCGATTAGGTGAGACACAAAACATCATCCTGATGCCTACAGAAGCCCGGGCCCCGGCCCTGAGCCCATCTGAGAGGTTTTCAGTCACTGAGCGCCCCAGGAGTGCAGTGTCCGATGAGAGGCGGTTAATCAATTCCCCTGTGCCAGCCTTGTCAAAGAAAGCAACCTCCTGCCCCAGAATGGAGGAGAATAACGAAGTTCTCAGCCTCTTCACAACGCGCTGACGTGAAGTTTGCATGAGGTAGACACGAATGGCATTGGCGGCAGCACCACATAGAAACACGCCACTGAGGCCAAGGCAGAGGCGGGTCAGGTTGTCGCTGTAGTCCACAGTGGGGTTGGTATAGATGGCATCGATGATCTTCCCCAGAAAGAAAGGGGCAGACATGGAGATAACACCGGACATCGGAGAAATCCAACCGCAGCTGCCAGCCTCTGGCGCTCAGGGAACTCCAGCCCCAGGAGCTTCCCGGCCTCCGAGAGTCCGGGCGCCATGGGTCGTAGCCGCTGGTCGTCCCGGGAAGGCGCCGCCCGCCCGCGCCGCCAGGCCTCCTCCCCTGCCGAGGCAGTGGCGGTGGGACCGCCCGGGAACCCGGCGCGCGGGAGCCGAGGAGCGCCCGGCCGGCAAGAGCCCCGCACCTGCAGCTGCCGGGCCCAAGCCCACAGCCCCGGGAGCCGTCCGAGGCCCGCGTGGCCCCCCGAGCCGCCCAGACCCCCGCCCCGGCAGCAGCTCCTCCAGCGGCGCGCGGCTCCAACGCCCCAGAGCAGCTCCGGCCCCGCGCCCCATAGCCGCGCCAGCCTCGGGGCAGTGAAGGGCGATATGGACTGGGGGCGCGGCTGGCCGGGGCCCACACACAGGCTACCGGCGGGAGCCGCCCTGGCTCTGCGGGGCCCGTGGCGCCGATACATCTTAAAAGAACTAGAAAAGCAAGAATAAACCAGACCCAAAATAAGTATAGAAGAAAGGAAAGAATAAAGATAAGAGCAAAAATTAATGAAATTGAAATGAAAAAATACAAAATATGAACAAAACGAAAAGTTCGTTTTTTAAAAAAGATAAACCAAACCAGTAACCTTTAGCCACACTAAAAAAAAACAAAAAACCCTAAATAAATAAAATCAAGATGAAAACGGGGACATTTTCATTGATACTGTAGAAATTCTAAGGATCATTAGAGGCTAGTATGAGCAACTATAGACCAATAAATTAGAAAATCTAGAATAAATGGATACTTTCCTAGATACATACAACCTAGCAAGAATGAACCACAAAGAAATCCAAAACCTGAAAAGACCAATAAGTAGTGAGACGGAAACAATTTTCCCAGGAAAAGCCGGGTGCAGTGGCTCACGCGTGTAATCCCAGCACTTTGGGAAGCCGAGGCGGGCGGATCACGAGGTCAGGAGATGGAGACCATCCTGACTAACACGGTCAAACCCCGTCTCTACTAAAAAAAATACAAAAAAAAAAAATTAGCTGGGCATGGTGGCGGGTGCCTCTAGTCCCAGCTACTCAGGAGGCTGAGGTAGGAGAATGGCGTGAACCTGAGGGGCGGAGCCTGCAAGTGAGTCGAGATCAGGCCACTGCACTCCAGCCTGGGCGACAGAGCGAGACGCCCTCTCAAAAAATAAAAAAAAGTTTCCCGGGAAAGAAAAGCCCAAGACCCGACGGCTTTACTCCTGAATTTTACCAAATATTTTTAAAAGTAGCACAAAATGCAGCAGCAGGATTCTCCTGCCCCAGCCTCCTAAGTAGCTGGGGCTACAGGTATGCACCACCACGCCTGACTAATTTAAAACTGTTTTTGTAGAGACAAGATCTCACTATGTTGCCCAGGCTGGTCTCAAACTCCTAGGTAAAATGATCCTCCCACCTCTGCCTCCCAAAGTGTTAAAATTGCAGGCATAAGCCATTGCCCCCGCCTGAAAAAATTTATATGTATATATATTTATATTTTATATATATATATATATGTATATATATATATATATGTATATATATATATATATATGTATATATATATACATATATATATATATATATATATGTTTTTGTGGTTTTTTTGAGACAGAGTCTCGCTGTGTCACCCAGGCTGGAGTGCAGTGGCACGATATTGGCTCACTGCACCCTCTGCCTCCAGGTTCAAGTGATTCTCATGCCTCAGCCTCCTGAGTAGCTGGGATTACAGGCATATGCCACTACACCCGGCTGATTTTTGTATTTTTAGCAGAGACATGGTTTCACCATGTTGGTTAGGCTGGTCTTGAACTCCTGACCTCAAGTGATCCACCCACCTCAGCCCCCCAAAGTGCCGGGATTACAGGTGTGAACAACCATGCCTGGCCAAAAATAATTTTTTTAAAAAGATTTTGTTCTGATTCTGATGGGAAATGGACTCTTTTCTAAAGTTACTAGCAGTTCTTTAACTGGTTAGCTCTATGTTAGGCATAGGTATTACTTTTTAGGGTGGCAGGTATGTGAAAAAAGAAGGGAGGTGGACAAAACCAAGACAGCAGAAGTAACTATTTGAGGGATTTCAAAACCTTTGACTGACACTCACTTCCTGGGACAGTCTTGATTTTGCTACTCTTTCCTCATCTGTTTCTTTTCAAGCCTTGCTCCCTACACACTTACCCTAGTTCTAACCCTTCCTGCTGATGGGCACCCCATTCACAAGGCAACAGATACCAGATGTGAGGAATGGAAAGAAAAACATTCTTACTTGATTGTTCTTAGGAGTTATACAGTCAGGCTCTTGGTTGGAGGGCTCTGATGTGAAAGCTTGGCTTCAAGTCCACTGAGAAAGTAGTATGATTGAAGTGGTGAACTGGAGATGGGGTGGGGGTGGCCTACCACGAGGACTAATTTGTTCTTTACGTGTTTTTGTTTTTTTATTTTTTTAGACAAAGTCTCACTCTGTCGCCCAGGCTGGAGTGCAGTAGCGCAATCTTGGCTCACTGCAAGCTCCGTCTCCGAGGTTCATGCCATTCTCCTGCCTCAGCCTCCTGAGTAACTAGGACTACAGGCACCTGCCACCACACCTGGCTAATTGTTTGTATTTTTAGTAGAGACGGGGTTTCACACTGTTAGCTAGGATGGTCTCGATCCGCTAACCT